>NW_021160006.1:0-170928 GCF_000001405.40 Homo sapiens | reverse complement strand
AAATAAGAGCCAGCTTGTGGTTCCAAATCCTTAGCAGGTATATTCCCCCACTAAAGTGTCTAAGACATTCAATTTTACTTGTAGTCCCCAAAGGCAGGGAGAGAATAATTATTTGTAGATCATCATTACATTAACGGTATAGTTCTGGCAATGGTAAACTACTGTTGGCAGACAAGCGATATCTGGTCTACCACCTGTGTTTGGTAAATAGAGTCTCACTGGAGCCACACCCACTTGCTTATGTATTATTGTCTGTGGCTTCCTTTTGCACTGTAAGAGCAGAGTTGAGTAGGTATAATAGGAACTACATAGCTGGAAAAGCCTAAAATATCTACTATCTGAGTCTTCCCAGAAAAAGTTTAGTAACCCCTGGCTTAGTCCACTAGGGCACCAGGTTTGTGGGGTGATCTCCCCAAATCCCCAAGCTCTGTCTCTGGTCTCCTAAATTTTATGAGTCAGTGAAAACCAAAATTGATGTCCACCATGTTTGGCAAATGCTATCAGGGTAAAAAGAGCAATCAGAGCTGCAGTGCTCTGCTTAACTCTCTGGTTTTCTCACTTCATTCAGTACCTGTTGTGAAAATGCCTTACTTTTTTGTTAAGAACATATTCTTTCTCAAGGATTGATTTTTTTATTTCATATTTTATGCAGGAGTTTTCTCATTTACAGCAAAAGATTAATCCAGGTATTTATCCTGCCATATTATTAGAAATTGAAAGTTGAATATGTTTTCAAGTATTTTAAAATATGGCCAGGTGCGGTGGCTCACACCTATAATCCCAGCACTTTGGGAGGCCGAGGCAGGTGGATCGCTTGAGGTCAGGCATTCGAGACCAGCCTGGCCAACATGGTGAAACCCCGTCTCTACTAAAAATACAATTAGCTGGGCATGGTGGTATGCACCTGTAATCCCAGCTGCTTGGGAGGCTGAGGCAGGAGAATCTCTTGAACCTGGGAGGTGGAGGTTGCAGTGAGCAGAGATCACACCACTGCACTCCAGCCTGGGTGACAGAGCAAGACTCCATCTCAAAAAATAAAATAAAATAAAATAGTAATACTCTTTTAATTTGACTCCATTTAACCAATCCACCAAATTAACTGATACAAAACATACTGATACCCCAGACATACTAAACACTCTCAACTAGTAAACTACTATCTAGTATGTCTATGTACTTCTGCTCATTAGTTGCTACATATCAAGAATTAGTCATATTTGTACCCAAATATAATTATGTATTTATTATTATATATATAATTAAAGATAATATAAGTCACTAAATACCAGTGTGAAAGAAATGTTTGGTAAAGGTAAACACCACATTCAACATTGAGATTTAGGGACAGGAAGATATGAATATACAGAATGTATCAACTGACTTGGTAATGTTTTATTTCTTTTGCTGAGTGGTAGATGCACTGATGTTTGTTATATTATTATATATATTTTAGCAATAGGATCTTCCTTTGTGCCCAGGCTGGAGTGCAGTGATACAATCATAGCTCACTGCAACCTTGAACTCAAGCAATCCTCCTGCATCAGCCTCGCAAAGCTAGGGCTACAGGCACAATGGAGACAGGGTCTCACTATGTTGCCTCTGGCTGATTTCAAACTCCTGGCCTCATGCGACCCTCCTACATCAGCCTCCCAATGTTACATTATTGTTAATCTCTTTTTCTCTATCAAGTATTCCATAATTAATATTAAAAATAATTGTTTCTATGAAAAGTAAGTTAATCCCTGGGAAGACATTAAAAGCAAATTGTTTAAAAATTGTCCTTCTAGGTTTGAGAAAGGGATAAAAATGGGTTGGGCGTGGTGGCTCACACCTGCAACTGCTTGAGCCTAGGAGTTTGAGACCAGCCTGAGCAACAGAGTGACACCGCATCTCTACAAATAATAATTTCTTAAAAATTAGCTGGGTGTGGTGCTGTGCACCTATAGTCCCAGCTACACAGAAGGGTGAGGTGGGAGGATCACCTGAGCCTGGGAATTCGAGGCTGCAGTGAACCATGATTATGCCACTGCACTCCAGCCTGGTGAAACTGTCTCCAAAAATAAAATAAATAAAGTCATAAAATTTAGTAAGGTTTTATAACCAGACTGCTTCATGAACACTTTTAAATTTCTTGTAGTACTTTAAAGCAATCTAAATGATCATTATTGATGTGCTTTCAGAAAGACACCACCTGTTGTTCCAGGTACTTGCCAGGCTGAGGCAGGAGGACCCCTTCAGCCCAGGAGTTCAAGACTGTAGTGTGCTAAGACCATGCCTATAAATTGCCACTCCAGGCCGGGTGCGGTGGCTCACGCCTGTAATCCCAGCACTTTGGGAGGCCAAGGCAGGCGGGTCACCTGAGGTCAGGAGTTCAAGACCAGCCTGGCTAACGTGGTGAAACCCTGTGTCTGCTAAAAACACAAAAATTAGCCAGGCATGGTGGCACACACCTATAGTCCCAGCTACTTGGGAGGCTGAGGCAGGAGAATCGTTTGAACCTCGGAGGTGGAGGTTGTGGTGAGCTGAGATTGTACCACCACACTCCAGCCTGGGCAACAGATCAAGACTCTGTCTCAAAAATAAATAAGTAAATAAATAGCCACTCCAATCTGGGCAACATGGAGAGGAGAGGAAAGGAAAGGATGGAGGGCTGGGGAGGGTAGGGGAGGTGAGTAGAGGGGAGAGGATCAGAGGGGGAAAGGGGAAGAGGAGGAAAGGAGGAATGAAATGAACGGAGAAGGGAAAGGGGGAAGGAAGGGGAAAGGGAAAAGGAAGGGAAGGGGAAGATGGAAGGGAAGGGGGAAGGGATGGGAAGGCACTGCAAAACTCTAATCAGCTGAGCCGTACTCAAAGGCCTTGCCCTACAACCAGAAAATCAGCAAATGAACTTTTATCTACATGTGTATGTTTTAGGTCGATATAAAATGTTTATCATGGCTCTTTCTAAGAAGCATGTTTAAATTAGGTAACTGCCTTCAATCTCAATCATGTTAGATAAGAGGGCTTCTAGTAGAAAGTATATCTGTTGAATCACATTACCAAACAGTGCACCATATACTTTAGTGTATGATAAAATAATTATGTTTCCTAATTATCTGAGGCTTCTTAGTTGGTCAACAGATGATGCTAACACCAATGAGGCCAAGTTCTAAATTTCTTATGTTCTATGGCCTCATGCTATGCCTTGAAACCTGGTTCACTATAAACATAGAAAGAAAACTAAAGAATATGGATAAATGTATTAATAATATTACAGAAACTCTTCAAGATTGTATATTCTTGGGAAAATATATAAGACAAAATGACAAGCTTAAAAGCATTTATACATCAGTTATGTAAAGAAAACAAAAGCTTAGAAAACCTACATAAAGTCATTAATAGAAGAGATTCAATTTTTCTTTATACTTTCTGTTTTCCAAATATGCTCCAATTATATCGAAGTGTTCTTTTTAAAAAAATTAACTTTTTAAATTATATGGCCCGGCTGGGCACCGCAGCTCACACCTGTAATTCCAGCACTTTGGAAGGCCGAGGCAAGTGGATCACCTGAAGTCAGGAGTTCGAGACCAGCCTGGCCAACATATAGTGAAACCCCATCTCTACTAAAAATACAAAAATCAGCGGGGTGTGGTAGCGCATGCCTGTAATCCCAGCTATTCAGGAGACTGAGGCAAGAAAATTGCTTGAACCCAGGTGGCGGAGGTTGCAGTGAGCTGAGATTGTGCCACTGCACTCCAGCCTGGGCAACAGAGCGAGACTCCATCTCAAAATAAATAAATAAATAAAAATAAACTATATGGCCCAATCACCTGAGGTCAGGAGTTCGAGACCAGCCTGGCCAACATGGCAAAACTACGTCTCTATTAAAAATACAAAAATTAGCCAGGCGTGGTGGCGCATGCCTGTAATCCCAGCTACACAGGAGACCGAGGCAGGAGAATCACTTGAAGCTGGGAGGTGGAGGTTGCAGTGAGCCAAGATCGCGCCACTGCACTCTAATCTGGGTGACAGAGTGAGACTCTCTCAAAAAACAAAAAAAATTGATCAACTAAATTAAATTATATGGCCCAATGGCATGGTGCTATTTTTAATTTTATATTTATTGACATCTGTTTGGTAAAATTTATTACTTTTTTAAAAAGCTTTGAAAATAACTTTATAAAACTAAAATTAACCTTTTCCAGAAGTAATCTTTGAAGTACTAAAGAAAAGACTGCCATGCTGAAGATCCATCATTTCTCCCTTCAGTTTGTCCAATGCAACATCAACAAGGGCAAGTTCATCAGCCAAATCCTAAAATATACAAAAGTTCTGAATAAAATGTTCCTACTTAAGTTTTAGGAGAATAAGAAGAATTTTCATGTGGCTACTTGATAATTAAAGGAATCTCATATTTTAATAGGGAAAAATGATATAAAAATAGTTTTTCAATGAGCCTGGGTGACCGAAAGTCAAGGTAAGTAAATATTAAGATGTAGCAAAAATTGTTTGACTTCATATAATTGTTAGAACTTTTTAGAGCTGGGTGTTTTTTGTTTTTGTTTTTTTTTGCCATTCAGATAACAGTTTGAAACCAAGGAAAATAAAATGATTTCAAAGGCTTTTATTATATTTAGCCTTTATTTTTGTGTTTTTTGTTTTGTTTTGTTTGAGATGAAGTCTCACTCTGTCGCCCAGGCTGGAGTGCAGTGGCACAATCTCGGGCACTGCAACCTCCGTCTCCCAGGTTCAAGCAATTTTCGTGCTTCAGCCTCCCGAGTAGCTGGGATTACAGGCGCCCGCCACCATGTCCGGCTAATTTTTGTATTTTTAGTACAGACGGGGTTTCACCATATTGGTCAGGCTGGTCTCAAACTCCTAACCTCAAGTGATCTACCCACCTCAGCCTCGCAAAGTCCTGGGATTACAGGCCTGAGCCACTGCGCCCGGCCAGGATTTTATTATATTTAACCTTAACCCTAATTTCTGAGTTGGCTAAAGCTGCTTTTAGTATGCGTCGTTATGGCCCAAACAGGAAGGTAACCACCTCTGATGAACACTTATTGTTTTCATCTGTCTAGTGTCCCTTTTTCTGGTAATAGAATTTCTCTTTTCCATGGGAACCCATTCCATATGTTTCAGTGCAGTACAATTAACATTGGTTTTCCAAGCTTAGGGTAGATGGGCATAAAACCAGACCTAGCCAATTGTTCCATCCTTTCCTTCTGGTCACAGAAATCAGTTCATAAGTGGACATATGGCCCAGGTATAAGAAACAAGCATGTCTATGAAGTTTGAAAATGGAAGACGGAAGATTACATCTCACTTTTCTTTGGAATCATAAGCTCTAAGAATAACATGCAAATCTAAGAACATTAGTAAGGACTGTAGAGTTGGAGAAAAAACAAGAATCTAAGAACAAACTGTACAGCCATCTTTACCACCACATAGAAAGGCTCTACGAATTAAGCCAACAGAGAAAATCTAAACCAAGATATACAAAGACTATGTCTTGATATGTGTGAACTTCAGAATCCGGTAGTACCTGAAGCAGTTTTGCCCTATTTCCAGTTACATGAACAATATTTCGTCTTTTTCTGCTTACCCTAATTTAAACTGGGTTTTTGTCACATGTGACAGAGTACGGAACTATATACAAGGAGTGTATTCATTCAGATTTCAATAGCCAGATTCCAAAAGCGAACAGTAAGGGAAAGAAGTAAAAGTCCCTACTTAAGGCCAGGCGTGGTGGCTCATGCCTGTAATCCCAGCACTTTGGGAGGCTGAGGCAGGCGGATCACGAGGTCAAGAAATCAAGGCCATCCTGGCCAACATGATGAAACCCCGTCTCTACTAAAAATATAAAAATTAGCTGGGCGTGGTGGCACATGCCTGTAGTCCCAGCTACTCAGGAGGCTGAGGCAGGAGAACTGCTTGAACCCGGGAGGCAAAGGTTGCCGGGAGCCGAGATCCTGCCGCTGCACTCCAGCCTGGCAACAGAGCGAGACTCCGTCTCAAAAAAAAAAAAAAAAAAAAAAGAGAGAACAATAAACACTGGGGACTCCAAAAGCAGAGAGGGAGGAGGGCACAAGGGTTAAAAACAATACCTATTGGCAGCCAGGTGTGGTGGCTCATGCCTGTAATCCCAGTACTCTGGGAGGCCGAGGCAGGCGGATCACTTGAGGTCAGGAGTTCGAAACCAGCCTGGCCAACATGGAGAAACCCCATCTCTACTAAAAATATAAAAAATTAGCCAGGCCTGGTGGTGCATGCCTGTGGCCCCAGTTATTCAAGAGGCTGAGGCAGGAGAATCGCTTGATCCCGGGAGGTGGAGGTTGCAGTGGGCCAAGATCGCGCCACTGCACTCCAACCTGGGTAACAGACAAATCCTGTCTCAAAAAAAGAAAAAGAAAAGGAAAGTCAGAAAAAAAAAGAAAGGAAAAGAAAGAAGAAGTTTAAAAAAAAAGGAAAAGAAAGAGAGAAAGAAAAAGGAAGGAAGGAAGGAAGGAAGGGAGGGAGGGAGGGAGGGAGGAAAGGTCAAAGGATACATAATTGCTTTCAAGGGATTAACCTTGCAACCCTGAATACATCGACATATACAACACTCTGAAGTGCTCACTTGATTTTCAGCCACAGGATGGGCTTCTCACTCACCTTCAGTAAGATACTAATAGCACAAGCCATGCCTACGGCACCAGTTCCAACAATAGTAATTTTACACTGGGAGTTTTCATCATCCTCAATTAGCTTCTCAATTAGCTGCTCCTTGACAGTTGACATTTGGAGAACCTGATAGGGATAATGCAATTTCATTGGATTAACCACACTGAACATCTAAGAAACTACCTCTTCAGTTTGCAGAATGTTGGAGCCGGGGATGGGGGGAAGCCAAAGAAAGAATTTCCTGGTCAAAGGATGCGGGGAGGGTAAAGCAAGGCCCAGTCTACCAGGCAATGGGAGGGCTGGGGCACCAGCGGGCTTTTGGATTTCTCCCTGCCCCCAGCCACCACTTTCACCCCAGCACCACACGCTCACAAATGCTTTGCTTGGCGCAATCAGTACAGATGACCCACAGGGACAAAGCACCACCTTTGAAGGAAGGCACAGAAGTGACACCAGAAAAATACACCAACGACAGTTGAGGCGCTAAGCCCGTCGACGGTTGCCCTCCGTGCGACTCGAGACACGCACGTTCCCCCGCTCGGCTCTTATGCGTCAGCACGCAAGCTCCGCCCCCCGCCGGCCCAGGCGCGGGCATGGGGCGTCTTTTCTGCCCTGGAGCGCAGTGTGGGTGGCGGCGGTCCAGATCACCGAAATGCTGATGGGAAGAATTCTAGACTGGCCCAAAGAGTGTGCAAGACGGGGATATCCATGCATTGTTTGCAGGATTTTAAAAAATTATTAACTTCTGTAACTTCAGGACTGAGTGCTGAAATAAAGTTAGAATTTCTCTTGAGAGAACAGAGGGTGGTAATGAAACGCAAAGACGCGAAGGATGCTTTCAATTTACAGCAAGAAATTGTTAATATTTATAACTCATGGCCGGACGCGGTGGCTCACACCTGTAATCCCAGCACTTTGGGAGTCCGAGGCAGGTGGATCACCTGAGGTCAGGAGTTTGAGAACAGCCTGGCCAACATGGCGAAACCCCGTCTCTACTAAAAATATAAAATTAGTCGGGCATGGTGGTGCATGCCTGTAGTCCCAGCTACTTGGGAGGCTGAGGCAGGAGAATCGCTTGAACCCAGGAGGCGGAGGTTGCAGTGAGCCAAGATCGCGCCACTGCACTCCAGACTGGGCAACAAGAGAGAAACTCCATCTCAAAAAAAATTTACATATATATTTTTTTTTTTGTGAGAGAGATATATATCTCACAGAAGGGGACACAACCTACTCCATCTTTTGTAGAGTATTTGCATTTGAACCTTTTTCAAAATCCAAAATATAATTTATTTTTCTTATAATAGCCTGTAGTGTTGTTATTGTTGTTGTTTTTGAGACAGAGTCTCACTCTGTCGCCCAGGCTGGAGTGCAGTGGCACAATCTCAGTTCACTGCAACCTCCGCCGCCTGGGTTCAAGCAATTCTCCTGCCTCAGCCTCCCAAGTAACTGGGACTACAGGCGTGCGCCACCACGCCCGGCTAATTTTTGTATTTTTAGTAGAGATGGGGTTTCACCATGTTGGTCAGAATGGTCTCCAACTCCTGACCTAGTGATCCGCCCTCCCAAAGTGTTGGGATTACAGGCGTGAGCCACCGTGCTGAGCCACCGTGCCCAGCCGCCGGGCAAATTTTTTTGTATTTTTTTGTATTTCACCTTGCTGGCCAGGCTGGTCTCGAACTCTTGACCTCAAGTGATCCACCCACCTCGGCCTCCCAAAGTGCTGGGATTACAGGCGTGAACCACCGCACCCAGTCAGTATTTGTTTTCAATATGGTTCAGATTATGCAATAACCCTGCTTTAAACTCTTCCGTGGCTTTCCATTACAGGTAGAGTAACCCACTTTTACCACAACCTAGATCTTCAAGATTTGGCCTCCTACCCCCACTTCCCATATCATCTCAGGACACTCAATACACTTCCTTCCAACTAGGCTTTGGACAGCTTTTTTGGATCAGGACTTTTTGCTGTTCTTTAAACCAAGAAAGCTCTTTCCCCAGCCCTTCTCAAGGTTAATTCCTCATTTTCAGCTTTGCACATACATACTCTGGCTTTCCTTGACAAATGTCAACTACCATCATTTCCTGTATATCTCTCTCTTATGGCACTTTTCTCAACCAGCAACTAGCCTGAAGCTAGAGGCCTCCTATAGCAGACAGGAGCAGCAACCACTTGGTCCTATACCTCCACAGCAACCTCATTTATCCCCGGGCTGAGAGGGAGATTGCTGGCCTGGATGGACTGGAAATTTAAGCTCTACACCTGCCTCAGGCCCCTGGCGGCCAAGGAAGGTATCAGCTTGGTAGTGGCCAAACTGATGCTAGATGACTAGAACTGGCTCTTCATCCATGCCTGCCCAAATACTCCAAACTTACTTAACATTTTGCTTACTTGATTGCAGTAACTTTAGAACCAAAATTTGTCTTTATTTATTCTTGTACATTGCAACATTTACCAAAGCATAGTAGGTACTCACTAAAGAATTTTTGGGCCAGACATGGTGGCTCACTCCTGCAATCCCAGCACTTTGGGAGGCCGAGGCTTCAGCCCAGGAGTTCAAGACCAGTCTGGCAACATAGGGAGACCCCCATCTCTACCCCCAAAAATAAAAACAAAATAAAATAAAATAATTTTTTTTGAGACAGAGTCTCGCAGTCTCGCCCAGGCTGTAGTACAGTGGTCCGATCTCGGCTCACTGCAAGCTCCGCCTCCCGGGTTCACGCCATTCTCCTGCCTCAGCCTCCCGAGTAGCTGGGACTACAGGCGCCCGCCACCATGCCCAGCTAATTTTTTGTATTTTTAGTAGAGATGGAGTTTCACTATGTTAGCCAGGATGTTTTCAATCTCCTGACCTTGTGATCCACCCGCCTCAGCCTCCCAAAGTGCTGGGATTACAGGCGTGAGCCACCGCACCTGGCCAAAATAAAAAAAAAATTTAAAGAATTTTTAAAGAACATGGCTTTGAAGTACTGAGTTTTATTTTGGCAACATGGGCTTTAGTGGGGGAAAAAAAGGAAGTAGAACCATGTTCTGAGCATCACATTTGCTTCTACACTAACTGGCAACTTCTGTGAGATGGGGATAAGGCCTGCTTAATTTAGTTCCCAAGGTTACTATGGAAAAAAAAAATCAAGTTTCTTTGCAGAGTTGGCCTATTCCTTGCCTGGGGCAGGAAGGTACAAACTGAACCTGGAACATTTATTTTGCCCATAAGTAAGGAAACTTTACAAGATTGCATTTGAAAATTCATGAAAGATTAATAGAATCAGTCTATTTCACTTAAATATTATTTTTCAGTCATGTTGGTATTGACTAATTTATTGTATCAAATAATATAAAATTAATGTAAATTTAAAAATTTTAAAGACTGAAGGTGACTCAAAGTTTACAAAAGGCTACAGGATTAAGTACAGGCCTCTTTTTGTGCTAATTAAAATATTCTTTTTTTTTTTTTTGAAACAGGGTCTCACTCTGTCACCCAGGCTGGAGTACAGTGGTGGGATCTTGGCTCACTGCAACCTTTATCTCCCGGGTTCAAGGGATCCTCCCACCTGAGCCTCCTGTGCAGCTAGGACTACAGGCACCTGCCACCACGCCTAGCTAATTTCTTTTTTGTAGAGACAGGCTTTTGCCATGTTGCCCAGACTGGTCTGGAACTCCTGGGCTCAAGCAATCTACCCACCTTGGCCTCCTAAAGTGCTGGGAATTTGAAGCCACTGCACCCAGCCTATATTCTAAGATTAGATACTGGTGATGGTTGCCAACTATGTGAATACACTAAAAATCCACAGAACGATACGCTTTATAGCTGTGTCCAACCCTTTGAATGTGAGGACTCTTTAGGTGGCAGCAGGTATCCAGATCATGAACTTTTTTGTAGCTCATCAGCTATCATTAGTGTTAATTTCTTTAATTTTTATTGAGACAGTCTCGCTGTGTTGCCCAGGCTCGAGTGCAGTGGTGCCATCTTGGCTCACTTCAATCTCTGCCTCCCCGGTTCAAGCGATCCTCTCACCTCAGCCTCTTGTGCCTCAGCTTCCCAAGTAGCTGGGATTACAAGCATAGGCCACCATACCTGGCAAATCTTTCGATTTTTAGTACAGATGGGGTTTCACCATGTTGGCCATGCTAGTCTTGAACTCCTGATCCACCCGCCTCAGCCTCCCCAAGTGCTGGGATTATAGGTGTCAGCCACCACAGCTGGCACATGTTAGTGTATTTAATGTGTGGCCCAAGACAATTCTTCTTCCAATGTGGCTCAGGGAAAGCAAAAGATTGGACAACCAGGCTTTAAGATAATTCCTTCCCTTAACTAGCTCTCAGGAAAGAATCTTTGGAAAAAGATCCTGGAGTTGGGAATGACAATAATGTTGTTCAGTTAACCTTTACAAGTATGGTTTTCAGGCCTGGATAAGGGTCACAGTTGTATTTTCAGAAAAATGTGCAGAAAACTTGAGTAGACATCCACCAAGGTTACTTGTTTTTTTTGGTTTTGTTTTGTTTTTTTAACAGATGGGGTTTTGTTGTGTTGGCCAGGCTGGTCCCCAATTCCTGGCCTCCAGTGATCAGCCCACCTGGGCTTCCCAAAGTGCTGGGATTATAGGCATGAGCCACTGCACCCTGCCTTAAGATTGTTTTTAATTGTTACCAGCTTCCAGAGGACAAGATCTCAAAAATCTGTGTTCCCTATAGTGACACACTATCATTGCCTATATTCAGTTGGCAAATAAATTTTACATTTACATATAGAATGTTACTTTCCAATTATGATTAGCATTATTATCAAATATATAATACTTTGGGACTTACAATGGAAGTGGTACCAATACAACTCAGTTGACTATTACATCCTCTGCTATTAGTCAATAATATCCCTGTTAGAAAAAATCGTTGCAGGGTTGCCCAAGAATAGCCTAATATTTCCAAATTAATATAATAACTAGCAGCTTTATGACTTTATATCTTAATATAATGAATTAACCAAAGTAGTCACTGTTCAAGGTTTATTGGGGGTTTTAGTTGGTATAACACTTGGATAGTTGGTTGCATTGTTTGTATGTAGATCTTTTTACATTATATGGTAATGTACACTACTGATATAGTTCACAAAATAAGATCCTTTGGAAGAATTATGCACAAGACATGATATTGGATTTATACACTGGATCCCAGGATGTGACTCACTGGGAAAAAATGTTGGACTAGGCATGTTCAGTGAAGGAGCCAGGAAGTTATATAACACACGGTAAACATCCACCTGGCTCAAGGGGCAAATGCAGTACGTACAGCATTGGCAGTGGTGCGTCAGAGGTGGCAGAACTATTTCACACTAACCAGTTGAAGACTACACAAGATTAATACCATCCAGCATCAGGATATAGCTGTGGATTTTACAAACCATTCTTATTTCTAACTTCAGGAGTTGATGTTTTTCCCAGTCCATCTTAAAATATTACTGCTTTAATCACAGATCAGATAAAAAGGACAACATGCACAACCTCCACCTAGAATCCTGTTGTAGCCTAGACAGTGAAATGATATGACATCAGAAGACTTTAAAATTGCAGCTCCTTTTGGATCCCCCAAAGTGTATCTGCACTCTTCTTCAAACGGGCCTCTTCCTCAGAAGTCAGAGTCACCTTCACAAGGTCTGAGATTCCATTCTGTCCCAAAATGCAAGGAACACTAAGGAAGACATCATCCTTTATTCCGTAAAGACCCTGAAGATGAAATGAAAAAAAAAAAATCTCACATTTTGTCTATGCATTCCCAGGTTTCCCAAGACTTACAGTCTCTATAATTATAAAGCTTTTTTTTTTTAATTTTTTTTTGAGGCAGAGTCTCGCTCTGTCGCCCAGGCTGGAGTGCAGTGGCACGATCTCAGCTCACCGCAACCTCCACCTCCAGGGTTCAAGTAATTCTCCTGCTTCAGCCTTCTGGGACTACAGGCGTGCGCCACCACACTTGGCTAATTTTTGTATGTTTAGTACAGATGGGGTTTCACCATGTTGGCCAGGTTGGTCTCAAATTCTTGACCTCAGGTGATCCACCTCTTGGCCTCCCAAAGTGCTGGGGTTACAAGCATGAGCCACAGAGCCCAGCCGCTTTTTTTTTTCTTTTGAGATGGAGTTTCACTCTTGTTGCCCAGGCTGGAGTGCAATGGTGCGATCTCAGCTCACTGCAACCTCCACCTCCTGGGTTCAAGTGATTCTTCTGCCTCAGTCTCCCAAGTAGCTGGGATTACAGGCGCCTGCCACCACACCTGGCTAATTCTGTATTTTTAGTAGAGACAGGGTTTCACCATGTTGGTCAGGCTGGTCTTGAACTACTGACCTCAGGTGATCCACCCCTTGGCCTCCCAAAGTGCTGGGATTACAGGCATCAGCTGCCCGCACATGGCCTTTTTTTTTTTTTTTTTTTTTAACAGAGGCAAGATCTCACTATACTGCCTAGGGTGGTCTCAAACACCTGGGCTCAAGCAATTCTCCTGCCCTTGGCCTTCCAAAGTGCTGGCATTACAGCTGTCAGTCACTGTGTGTGGCCTAATTATGAAGATTTTAAAATACAACTTGAGGCCAGGTGCGGTGGCTCACACCTGCAATCCCAGCATTCGGGGAGGCCGAGGCGGGTGGATCACAAGGTCAGGAGTTCGAGACCAGCCTAGCCAATATGGTGAAACTCCATCTCTACTAAAAATACAAAAAGTAGCCGGGCGTGGTGGCACGCACCTGTAGTCCCAGCTACTTAGGAGGCTGAGGCAGAAGAATCGCTTAAACCTGGGAGGCAGAGGTTGCGGTGAGCCGAGATCGGCCACTGCACTGCAGCCTGGGTGACAGAGGGAGACTGTCTCAAAAAAATAAAAAACTTTGATAAGTAGAAATTCCTTTCCAGGTGTTCAGTTATGATTTAATTAATAGTATAAAAGAAAGTCATTAAAAATAGTAACATAATGCTAACTTGAATATAATTTCTATTTTCCCCAATGGAGAAATAGTTTATTTCTTTTATAGTCTTCCACCTACCTCAGCATAATTGAACAAGACTTTTTTGTAGTCAAATTATCAAGTATCTATGTGTTGAACAGGCCTAATGGACATTAATCCTAAAGCTCAACCATTTCTTTCAAAAAAGGTAAGCTGTGGGTACATTAATTTATTTCACTTAAGTCAGTAATGGAAGACTTGTATTAATCTTTCTCAGAAGAATCTTTTTTAAAAAGCCAGCAAAAAGCATTCAAATGCAGCGTATCACTACATAGACCTACCTTAATCATGGTGGAAACTGGGTGCACCCGCCTAAGATTCTTCATTATACTCTCTGCCAAATCTGCTACAGAGAGTCCAATAGCCCAGGATGTGTAGCCTTTGAGTTTGATCACCTCATAAGCACTGTATGATAGGAAACCATAGGTAAAGGCAGAAAAAGCAGGGTGGGAGAAAGAAAGAAAAACAAAGTTTTCATTAATACACATTTTACAGTAAATAATGCCACAATGTTGCATTATACCAAGAATAACCCTTGCACACATGTATGCTAGGATATTATGTACAGGGATATTCATTAACAGTACTGTTAGTAACAGCAAAAACATGACAATCTTTCCAATGTCCTCCAACAGAAGAATGGATAAATCATGGTATACTGATACAATGGAATATTACACAGCTATCAAAAAATAAACTATAGCTACTTGTAAAAAAAATTGGATAATTCTTAAAAATATAATATTGAATTTTAAAAAGAAATCCAAGATAACATAGCATCCTTAACTCAGGATTATCTCAAGTGGGAGCGTGAGGGGGACAGAGGGATAGCTGGGGGAAAGAGCACAGAATCCACTTATTTCCAAACACCAGCAGAATACTAAATTCTGATTCAACAATGTTATTTGACAGATATTGTGTTTCTTTCTTGAGCTGGGTGGTGGGTTCACAGGTTTTATTTAATTAAACAAATACAAACAAGAGGGCCTTGCTTGACCAATCACAAGAATATGTTATGAACTAAAGATTATGATTCTTTTTTTTTTGAGACGGAGTCTCGCTCTGTCGCCCAGGCTGGAGTGCAGTGGCGCGATCTCGGCTCACTGCAAGCTCCAACTACCGGGTTCATGCCATTCTCCTGCCTCAGCCTCCCGAGTAGCTGGGACTACAGGCGCCTGCCACCACGCCCGGCTAATTTTTTGTATTTTTAGTAGAGACGGGGTTTCACCGTGTTAGCCAGGATGGTCTCCATCTCCTGACCTCGTGATCTGCCTGCCTCGGCCTCCCAAAGTGCTGGGATTACAGGCATGAGCCACCATGCCCGGCTATGATTCATTTTTTAATTCTATAGACCTGAGGTCCACACAGGACCACAAAGGTAAATAATGCCACCAAGTTGAAAGCTTCCCTATTTCAATAATTTTTTTTTTCCTTTGAGACAGGCTCTTACTCTGTCACCCAGGCTAGCAGGCTCTGGAGTGCAGTGGCAGGATCTCGCTTCACTGCAGCCTTGACCTCCCAGGCTCATGCGATCCTCCTGCCTCAGCCTCTCAAGTAGCTAGGACCACAGGTGCTCACCACCATGCCTGGCTAATTTGTGTATTTATTGTAGAGACAGGGTTTTGCCCTGTTGCCCAGGCTGGCCTTGAACTCCTGAGCTCAAGTGATCCTAGGGCCTGGGCCTTGCAAGGTGAGGCACATTCTTTTTTTTTTGGCTAACATGGTGAAACCCCATCTCTACTAAAAATACAAAAAATTAGCCGGGCGTCATGGCATATGCCTGTAGTCCCAGGTACCCAGGAGGCTGAGGCAGGAGAATCGCCTGAACCCGGGAGGCAGAGGTTGCAGTGAGCCAAGATTGCGCCACTGCACTGCAGCCTGTGCGAAAGGGCAAGATTCTGTCTCAAACAAAACAAAACAAAAAAACCACACAAGTTTTCTAACAAAAAGTTCTCAAATGCAAATACTATTACAATTTTAACCTTTTAAATAAAAATAGTAAATGTTAATATTCTGTGTTGCCAAATTGAAAGATTTATTACCTCTCAACCACCTGCTTGTGAACCTCTTTCCACTGTTCCTTATCTTTATCAGTCCCTAAATCTGGGTGCAGAGTCTTCAGAGAGACACCAGCAACATTCATTCCACTCCATACAGGCACTAAAAGAAATAGTACAGACTACATTTATTTTCATGTACCAACAGATTAGTAATTGTGATTCATTTTCCTAATTCTCTTATCTTCGGAGGAAGAATACTCAATTTTGGTAGATGGTCAAGACTACTAATGTAGTCATTACTCACTTTTAGATTAGATTTTCATTTACTTACATTATGTAAAACTAAGAATTTTAACTGTATTCTAACCTGTTTCTCTAGCCAATTGAAATGTTTAACCCATGTATATTTGAAATATAAAGATAGTATGAGAACATAAGGGGGGTTTTCTTAGCATACAGAACCTAATCATAACATTTTTCAACTGTGATAATATAACTTTTGTGCATTTGGATTTGCTCATCTTTTCAGGGCCAGGCAGTACAAGTCAGGTATAAACAGCTGTGATATTAAATGACTGAAGACATCCTAAGAACTACAGTCTTAAGATATCCATGGTAAGAAGAGAAATTTCATTTCCCGTCCCCCTCGCCATAAAATGCCATATAAAATGGCAACAATCTTAACAATTCTTAACATATAATTATACAAAATGCTAGATTTCGGGAAACCATTCCATCCTACTGAATGGATATTTGATTAGGCTCTAATTGAATAATATAATGCCCATCGACTTTTTATATAATCTTTTCAAAAACAAAAAGAAAATAACTTATGCTTACCACTGGAATCTCCATGTTCCCCAAGGACCCACCCATGACAGCTTAATGGGTGAACTCCCAGCCTTTCCCCCATTAGGTAACGGAATCGGGCTGAATCCAGATTGCAACCGCTTCCAATAACACGGTTTTTGGGAAAACCACTTATCTTCCAAGCCACGTAGGTCAAGATATCCACTATGAAAAAGGAGAAAATAAAAATCACCCATTATCCTCTCCCTACACACAAAAAAGATATACCTACTATGAAGAAAACACTTAACCAGATACTAGGTGATCATTAGATAATAATAGGCTACTCCAGATATATGGCTTTTCAGGATCTTGATATTGATCATGGCTAACCAATAATTTTGTTAATATTTTTAAGCCTCTACACTATGTATATCAAGTCCATTAATTATTCAAAAAGTAGTTTTGGCTGGGCATGACAACTCACACCTGTTATCCCAACACTTTGGGAGGCTGAGGTGGGAGGACTGCCTGAGGCCAGCAGTTCAAGACCAGCCTGGGCAACATAGCAAAACCCCATCTCTACAAAAAAACTTTTAACAAACTAGCCAGGCATATTGGTGCACGCCTGTAGTCCTAGCTACTTAAGAGGCTGAGGAAGAAGGATCACCTGAGCCTAGTAGGTCAAAGCTGCCATGATCATCCCATTGCCCTCCAGCTTGGGCGACAGAGTGAGACATGCTCTCAAAAAAAAAGTATAGTAACAGTTTTATGAAAATAAACTGTTTATCAACTAAGAGACAATTATGGGCCCGGGCACGGTGGCTCACGCCTGTAATCCTAATACTTTGGGAGGCTGAGGCAGATGGATCACCTGAGCTCAGGAATTTGAGACCAGCCTGGGCAACATGGTGAAACCCCTTTCTACTAAAACTTCAAAAATTAGCCGAGCATGGTGGCACGTGCCTGTAATCCCAGCTCTTGGGAGGCTGAGGCAGGAGAATTGCTTGAACCCAGGAGGCAGAGGTTGCAGTGAGCCAAGATCGAACCACTGCACTCCAGCCTGAGCTACAAAGTGAGACTGTCTCAAAAAAAAAAAAAAAAAAAAAGAGAATAACAATTATTCACAAACTTATCCCTTATCCAAGATCTTGGGCAGGTAATTTTAAGCTCCAACTACATTTAAAGGCATTGTATTCCCTTTAATGTTTTAAAATTATTAAAAAACAAAAAACACACACACACAAATCTCCTTAGAAGGGAAATGAAACATGAAAAATAAATGAATCACCAGGCACGGTGGCTCACGCCTGTAATCCCAGCACTTTGGGAGGCCAAGGCGGGCAGATCACGAGGTCAGGAGATCGAGACCATCCTGGCTAACCTGATGAAACCCCGTCTCTACTAAAAATACAAAAAATTAGCCAGGCGTCGTGGTGGGCACCTGTAGTCCCAGCTACTCGGGAGGCTGAGGCAGGAGAATGGCATGAACCCGGGAGGCGGAGCTTGCAGTGAGCCAAGATCAAGCCACTGTACTCCAGCCAGGGTGACAGAGCAAGACTCCGTCTCAAAAAAAAAAAAAAAAAAAAAAGAAAAATAAATGAATCAATAAATATGCGTGGCTGGGCACGGTGGCTCACGCCTGTAATCCTAGCACTTTGGGAGGCAGATGGACTGCTTGAGGCCAGGAGTTCAAAACCAGCCTGGCCAACATGGTGAAACCCTGTCTCTACTAAAAATATAAAAAATTAGCCATGTGTGGTGGCAGGCGCTTATAATCCCAGCTACTTGAGAGGCTGAGGCAAAAGAATCGCTTGAACCCATGAGGCAGAGGTTGCAGTGAGCCCAGATTGCGCCACTGCACTCCAACCTGGGCGACAAGAGCAAAACTCCGCCTCAAAATATATATATATATTTTAAAATAATATTCGAAAATATTTTTAAAAATGTATTTTTTAAAATATTTCAAAATATTTAAAATATATATAATATATATATCATATACTATCAGTTTTACTATAGCTTGTCAATTTTTATGCAGTCAAAAGCCTCACCTGGATTTGAAACAATAAGCAACTTGCAGTTCGGGCTGTATTTTACAACATTAGGAATGATGAATTTAAAGATGTTCACGTTACGCTGGACCAAATTAAGACGGCTTTCTCCCTCTTGCTGACGTGCCCCAGCCGTGATAATGACCAGCTTGGAGTTTGCAGTTACATTATAGTCTAGAGAAAAGGGGAATAATGACCAGATTAAGGCCTTTAGAATAAATTTTACCTAGGCAGCAAAAATTTGTTCCATAAATGCTCCACAAACCTTTCTTGTTCTTAGAGTTTTATCATTATGGCTTCTTAAATGGAGGAAGAGCATGTCAACATCTTCCTTGTAGTTTTAGTCAAGTTGTAACTTTATGTAACTACAATTAGGGAGAGCTGGAGGAAATCAAGTTTATTATTTGATTCTCCTATTAATTTCTTACATATCCTCAAATTTTTGATCCCCAAGCTCAACGTTCACACTCTTCCATACTCCTGTTTCTACTTAACTGGTGTCCTATCAGCCCAGGAACAGGCAATTTCGTGTGTGTGTGTGTGTGTGTGTGTGTGTGTGTGTGTGTGTGTGTGTGTGTGTGGTGGTGGTGGTAGGGGGACTTGTTTTTAAGCAGAGACAGCTTTACACTTAACAAACATATTTTGCTTCTAGATACCCTATGGCACAAGAGAGTTAAACCAGTGATGAAGGGAGTTGCCCATCAGCAAGGTGGCCAGTGATTTTCAGGTATCAAAATAGACACTATTTGGGCTCACATTCAGGTTTCTTGGCTGGTGCTGTTAAGTGTGAAAGGGTCAAGCCAAGAGTATTAGCTGAACAGGCTCATTTATTTACCCTATTCTCAACTTCGTGTGTGAAAGGATGTGGGGGCAAGTAAGTAACACAATGTGGTTAAATACAGACCTAAGGTTTAAGCTTTACTCATTACATTCTAATTCAGATGGTTTGCATAGCATGGACAAATTGGATTTCTATTTTAAACCATTTGCCAGAAATTGAAACTTTGATATTCACAGGCACCTAAGTGAAATTGTTCCCAGGCTCTTGCACCCGGCATTTAAAACAAAATCTTTAAAGAGCTAGGATTTCAAGCCTGATAAAACATTTAAGTCTAAAGCCGGGCACAGTGGTTCACACCTGCAATCCCAGTACTTCGGAAGGCTAAGGAGGGAGGATCACTTGAGCCCAGTGGTTCAAGACAGGCCTGGGCAACACAGTGGGTCCCCATCTCTACAAAAAGTAAAAAAATTAGCCGGGCATGGTAGCATACCCTATAGTCCCAGTTTCTTTGTGAGGGGGAGGGGGTAATGAAGTGGAAGGAGGATTGCTTGAGCCCAGGGTTCGAGGCTGTGGTGAGCCATAATTGTGCAACTGCACTCTACCCTAAGCAACAAATGGAGACCATCTGGAAAAAGAATTTAAGTCAAGCATGGATTATAATATAAACTTGTTGAAATCAACCTTTGCCAGAGACAATCTTTGGTGTTCTAAGGAAAAGGCTGCCATGTTGGAGATCCATCATCTCTCCCTTCAATTTGTCTTCGATGACATCAACAAGAGCAAGTTCATCTGCCAAGTCCTAAAAGACATCAAATCTTTAGTTAAATGGAAAATTGCCACTTCTAGATTTTTAGAAGAGCATGAAAAATTTCTATATTTCTGGCATAGGAGAGTTCTGTTACTTTATTAGTACAGTATCGAGATATTCAAAGTAGAGGGCACCCCATTTCAAAAGCTGACTTACAGATTACACCCTACATAGATAGCACTGACCCTCTCTCCAGCCCTGTCTCCCCACTGAAGCGAGCTCTATAGGAGTTCCACCACTGCAGATGTGGAAGCAGAACACTGGACTGGCAGTTGCTAGAATAACTTCCAATTATATAAAACTGCTCTGTCTACTCTCTCAAATTCCATCCTACACACCAATTTTAGGTTGTTATTCATTTAACTAGGTGATATTGACCAGCATCAAGACTTGAAATTAGTAAGAAATGTTCTGGCCGGGCATAGTGACTCACATCTGTAATCCCAACACTTTGGGAGGCCGAGGCGGGCACATCACTTGAGGTCAGGAGTTCAAGACAGCCTGGCCAGGCCAGGCACGGTGGCTCACGCTTGTAATCCCAGCACTTTGGGAGGCCAAGGTAGGCGGATCACGAGGTCAGGAGATCGAGACCATCCTGGCTAACATGGTGAAACCCCGTCTCTACTAAAAAATACAAACATTTAGCCAGGCGTGGTGGTGGGTGCCTGTAGTCCCAGCTACTTGGGAGGCTGAGACAGGAGAATGGTATGAACCCGGGAGGCAGAGCTAGCAGTGAGCGGAGTTCACGCCACTGCACTCTAGCCTGGGCGACACGGCGAGACTCCTTCTCAGAAAAAAAAAAAAAAAAAAAAAAAAAAGACCAGCCTGGCCAATATGGTGAAGGCCTGTCTCTACTAAAAATACAAAAATCAGCCAGGCGTGGCGGTGGGTGCCTGTAGTCCCAGCTACTCGGGAGGCTGAGGCAGGAGAATCACTTGAACCCAGGAGGTCAAGTGAGCCAAGATCG
The DNA here is from genome assembly GCF_000001405.40 of Homo sapiens. NCBI lineage: Eukaryota > Metazoa > Chordata > Mammalia > Primates > Hominidae > Homo > Homo sapiens. The sequence continues at coordinate 149,906 of NW_021160006.1, read as the reverse complement.
TGCCACTGCACTCCAGCCAGGGCAACAAAGCGAGATTCCGTCTCAAAAAAAAAAAACTTAAAAAGTTAAAAAGTCTGATTTCCGCCCATCTTTCAGAGATGGAATCTGAACTATTCCCTGGTTGATTCCATATATGAACCAATACTAACAGTTATGGATAAATAGGTTTGTGCAGTGTATAATACTGGCAAAAAATATCCTTATAGTTGCAACTCAAAGTTCATAGGTCCATTTCAGGCCAGGAGCACCAATAACAGCTTTAATACAACTGGATGTGGTCTATCGTTACCAAAAGTTATTCAAGCTGCAGATCTATCCCTAAATCATCCACAATATAATGAGTGTCAGTTACTCTTCTTACCCACACCTGAGCCAGAGGCCATCACAGAGAAAAAACATAGGCGGTTTGTAGGTGTGGGGAAAACAGCATCAATTTCTCATCTAGTGGGTAAGGAATAAAAGTTGGTGTATTATGTGGCCTTTCCTAAGAACATATGTAGAGTCACCTGTGTTGTTACGAGGCCTTTTCATAGCTCATTTCTGTCTTTAGTCCCTTCTCACTTGAATCCATTTCTATTTAGAACCCAGAATTCATCATTTTACTTTTATTAGACACTCCACATCTTAACTTCAGATTTTTTTTTTTGAGATGGAGTCTCACTGTCGCCCAGGCTGGAGTGGAGTGGTGCTATCTCGGGTCACTGCCACCTCCACCTCCTGGGTTCAAGCAATTCTCCTGCCTCAGCCTCCCAAGTAGCTGGGACTATAGGCGTATGCCACCACGCCCGGCTAATTTTTTGTATTTCTAGTAAAGATGGGGTTTCATCGTGTTAGCCAGGATGGTCTCCATCTCCTGACCTCGTGATCCACCCACCTCAGCCTCCTAAAGTGCTGGCATTACAAGCATGAGCCACTGTGCCCCGCCTCAGACATTTTAATGTTGTAAGCTGCCTCAATTTCTTTTAAATATAAATCAGCTTTCAATAGTGTAATAAGGAGTGCTTTACTCACAATTTCTTTTTTCTAATTAAATTTTAGCTCCATAATTGATAACAAAATTGCTATCCAAGGCACAGGGGCAATGAGATTTGAGTGGGAGAACTTATGATTTCCCATATAATTTTACCAATAAATGACAATTTTTGAATTGTCATTTTCAATTCAAAAATCACTTTAAAAGAATTTTGGCTCATTTAAAATCATGGACCCTTCCTTTTCATTGGTAGTCAATCCATGCATGTTAATACAGAATAATGAATTTTAGGAACTGGGTCTCCAGCCTGACAACCTTTGATTCTTTTTAATTTCAGATACACTTTTGGTGTATTATCATATTTCAAAAGTTTGTTTCACAGAAAGTTATCCGAATGAGTGCATAAATCTAAATACTGTTACATGAAATGTAATAATACAGTTCTAGGGGTAGGAGTGGGGGTAGAGGATGGGGTCAAGGTATGGGCTTCCAGTGTGGTAGACTCTCACTTACCTTCATTAAGATACTGATGGCACAGGCCATGCCAACAGCACCAACCCCAACAACTGTAATCTTATTCTGGGGGGTCTGTTCTTCCTTTAGAAGATTATAAATCAGCTGATCCTTTAGAGTTGCCATATTGGACTTGGAACCAAAAGGAATCTATAGGAGGAAAAACATTTAGTGTCACTACAGCTTCTTTAATGTTTATTAACCAAGAGATTTTTTTAAGCTATTTTACTTCCTTTGGGGGTATTTGCCACTATAAATCACTAGAGATGACTAAAAAGGGAGGGGAAAAAACCTAATGGTTGCCAAAAGAGAGTTGAAAGGCCTAATGACAGGGTCTGTGAAGAGTGAAGGCCCATACCTTAGCGTGGAAAAGGAATATCGACGTTTGGGTGTAAGTATAGCCTCCTGAGGGTTCACCCATCGCGGTTTATTAACCCCAAGTGGGGCTGGCCTTTCCTCAGACAAGATCACTCTGAGCTACTCCGGCTCCTACAGCAAGGACACAGCCAGGCTTCTCAAGTAAACACCAGAGATACGTGCAGAAAAGCCATTAACTGCCACAAAGCTCAAGCCCAAGGCACAGGAGCCTGCGGTGATCCGCGCGCATGCGCGCTTTGTGGCTCTCCTTCCCGCTCGGAAAGGTGGGCGGAAATCAGACTAATTGCTGGGTCCTCCGAACGCCCGGCTTTTACGCCCCGCCCAAGTCCGGAAGATGGGCGGGCCCAGGAACTTGTGCGCGTGCGCATGCGCATTACAGCGCGCAGGGCGAAGCCGATTAGTCTAGCGGCCTCCGGCCGTTGGGAAGCGGGCATCGGGCCAGAAGGCAGAAGGCTGAGAAGCCCCGCCCGTAAGCAGAGGCAATCTGGAGCTATGCAGCTCAGTGGGTGAGAGGGAGGGAGCTGGGATTCAGACTTCAGACCTAATGAATGCCCCGAAGCAGACGCCAGCAACGTGAAGCCTAGCTGGCAGCCTCCCAGGTCTGGCGCGCAGCCAGCGCCAGACTTTAAATCGCAATACTAGAAACCAGGGCCTGTTAACCAACCGGGAGGGAGGCGCACGGTGTGGCTTCGGCCGTGATCCTTGTTGCAAAGGCCTGTCAGGCCCAGTATGAAGAAATAGTTTCAGTACAGGGAGTGTAGAAATAGCTGCAGAAGGCCTGAGGCCTGCAGCCCTAGAGTTAATAGCTACTTGGTGGAACCCTCGAATTCTTTCCACCTTGTTAATCCAACCCTGCACTGCATTCGCTGGAGGAAATATCACAGGCTGCATCCCCAAAGTATCACGTCTAGTTTTGACACCACTCCAAAGGGCAAAAATCCGAGAGGACCTCTAGGCAGGCAGTCAGCCCAGAGTCACCAAGCTGGAGCCGGGTCTCTCCTTACAAATCACTGCTATTTCTAGACAGCCTTGTAAGGTTTCTAGCCTGGCAGGGGGAAGGGAGTTCCTGCGGACACCTGCTAGCTTCACTGAACGGCCCCGGGATCCAATGCTACCTTTAATGTAGGGGCGGAGGTGGGAGGGCATGGGATGAGGGAAGGGTGCGTCTAGAGGCGAGAGACATGCAAAAACGAGTTCTACACCTCACCTCTGCCTCCTACTCACTGGGAACTTAGAGATCCCTGACTGTCTCCTAGCTTTCGGTCTCCCTATTTGTTAAAAGGAGGAGTTGGTACCGGCGGATCCTACTCAACTGACCGTCTGAGGTGCGGAAGGGCTGGGATGCTGCCTGCTTCATCTTTGCATGCGCCGTGCCTAGCGCAGCCCGAGATACACCAGTAGCTTCTTAATAAATGCGCAAAGGGCTCCCTATAATCTGCAGGCAGCAGCTGCCCTCACGGAGCCCACCTCTCGAGCGTCCCAAGAGAAAAATGCAAGCCGCGTGGTACTCAGCCGCTTTCCGTCTTTCAAGAACCCGCCCCGGACAAGCTGAGGCTTTTTTGGCTCTATGGGCTCCGAGAACTGGACCTCGAGTTTTGCACCGCCCGCCGATTTCGAGCCCAGAGGTATCCCCCACCCTTAAGGCCTATCATATCCTTGTTCCGCATCCACCCGGGCTTTCGACCCCTGCTTGGGTGCGGCCACCTCCTCGGTTCCCCAGCGTGGCCAGAAGCCATGGTTCCCGCTTAGAGCAAAAGCAGAGCGCGGCGAGCTCCGAACACATGCGTTGTGTGGGCCGCCGCCCAGACGTCTCTGGGCTGTGCTTCTGGAAAGCGGCTCCTACACCTCCCGGGAGCAGGAATCCCTTCGCGAGCAGCGGAGGCCAGCAGAACCAGAGGCAGTTGGCTCTACCCGCCCATCCCTCTGGCGCCGTGCGCGCAGGGCCCTACCGTACCGGGAATGCACGTCGGGCGGTCGTCGGGGGCGCGTGGCAATGAGATCCGGAATCGGCGGCAGCGGCTGCAGCACTCTGAGCTGGGCGCGGGAGGGGCCTTAAGTGGAACAGCTATGCTGACGTCAGCGGGGGGGGCCGGCGGACGTGCGGGAACCCACGTGTGAGTCGGGCTGGGGGTGGATGCCGAGCCAGGCGGGGCACTGGAGAGGCCCGGGTGGCGCGCGCAGCCAGACAACCGACCGGCAGACTGCTCCACGTGCGCTGGGAGTCTAAGTAAGGTGCTGCCCTCCAACCACAGAAGCCGGGGTCGGAGCCATGAGCCTGAGTCAGGACGACCTTCAGTTTCCTCATCCATGAAACCTGGGGAGGTTACTCTCAGGAAGGCTTGGATCTGTTTCTTCTTCATCCCTGTTTCTCAGTGTCCAGAACAGCTTCTGGCACGTAATAGGCACTCCACAAATATTTGTTGAACGAAAGGAAGAAAATGCCTAGCAGTCAGTCAGTCTGTTCTTACCTAAGTCGAGTGACCTCCAAAACTCGACGCTGCTTTTCCCTCTGCTGCTAAGCCTACCAGCTCCCACTCACAGTGAAGCCTTGGCCTCTCAGGCCTTGCAGGGTGACTCAGTTCAAATGTACATTTTATTCTGCACTTTCTACTGCCCACCCCACTGGCATCTCATCTCGAGTCTCAACCATACCCAAGAACTGTCAGTGGCTTGTTTTTTTGGTTTTGGTTTTTTGTTTGTTTATTTGTTTTTTGGTATTTTTCGAGACAGGGTCTCACTCTGTCACCCAGGCTGGAGGGCAGTGGCGTGATCATGGCTTCCTGCAGCCTCGACCTTCTGGCTCAAGCGATCCTCCCACCTCGGCTCCCCGAAGTGACTGGGACTACAAGCGCGCCCACTTGCCCTGCGATTTTTTTTTTAATTATTAATTTTTTTTTTTTTGAAACGGAGTCGCTCTGTCGCCCAGGCTGGAGTGCAGTGGGCTGATCTCGGCTCACTGCAACCTCCGCCTCCCGGGTTCAAGCGAATCTCCTGCCTCAGCCTCCTGAGAAGATGGGATTACAGCCAGGCGCCACCACGCCCGGCTAATTTTTGTAATTTTTAGTAGAGACGGGGTTTCACCATGTTGGTCAGGCTGATCTCAAACTCCTGGCCTCAAGTGATCTGGCCGCCTCGGCCTCACAAAGAGCTGGGATTACAGGCGTGAGCCACCGTGCCCAGCTCAATTTTTTGTTTTCTTATCATACTTACCTCTGGGCCTGTATTCTTGCTGATTCCATTGCCTAGCCCGCCCTCCTCCATCTCTTCTTTAATTTGTACCAATACTTCCCCACTGTGGGGTATATTATGAAATATATTTGGTAAGCCCTTGAGTATGCCAAAATTTCCTGAATTTTCTGATAGGAATGTCTTTTGTTATTTATAAAGAGCCTTTTTCCCTGACTTAATGTTAATGAATGAGGAGTCTTAGATAGCCTCAGGAAGGAGCCAGTCATGGGAAAGACCAAATGATTAGGGAATTAGAGGGCTGGAACTTTCAGCCCAAAGGGGTGGATGGCTTTACTTACTCCCTGAACCTACAGCAGCAGCCCAGTGCAGCTTTGAGATAGATCCATAACTGAGTTTCTTGGTTTTGACGGAAAACTCTAACCTCAGCTCCAAAATAGCACAAGGGGCCAGGTGCAGTGACTCATGCCTGTAATCCCAGCACCAATGTGGTTGAGGTGGGAGGACTGCTTGAGGCCAGGAGTTCGAGACTAGCCTGGGCAGCATAGTGAGACCCTGTCTCAAAAAAAAAAAAAAAATAGCAGGGCATGCTTGCATGTTCTAACAGTTTTCCCATCACTCTAGATTCTAAGATCACTCTAGGTTCTGAAATGGGGCTCTCACCTCAAACACACAGCTGGAAAGTTTAGGGGTGGGCCACTGATTCTTCAGAGTACCTCAGGGCAGGGCAGATTGCCACAGTGTTTTCCGGTTTCTCAGTCTTTGCAACAGTGTTCTCAGTCAGGGCTGGGCCCCTGCCTGCCTACCAAATGTGACCACTGCTGCTGGGAAGAGGTGTGCAGAAGGCAGAGAGCTGAAGTTGGCTGGGGAGACGAAGAATTTTCACCTGAAAGGCTTGGGTTGGGGCACTCTGAGATGACCTGTGAAGATAAACTAGGTAGAGTCTTCATTCCCCTAATTTATGATACCTAGCAACAGCTTGCTCCAAGCACAGCTTCAGGCTTCTTAGGCAGAACAACAGCCAGTATTTGACTCCACAAATATGAATAAAACAAATACCATTTACTGAGCACCTGCTATGGTGCTGGCAGCCAGCTAGGTAATCCCCATACTCATCCTTTGGAGTAGGCATAATTATCCCCATTTTTCAGATATGGAAACCAAGGCTCAGAAAGGTAAGTGACTTTGCTAAGGTAGTGCAGCTAGTAAGTGATTTTGGCTGAGACTTTAACCCAGTGCTGACTAACCCCAAAGCCTATGATTTTCTCTCTATTATAGGATGTTGTCCCACATCACTCCATACAAAGGGCAAGAAATTATCTAGGGGGCCCAAACCAGTCCCAGGCTCAGAAGAGGCTGTGGGTGCCAATGGGTGTATCTGCTGAGACCTTGGTATTCTGCCCTTAGACTGGGACTTAGACCCTTGGCTCTCCTGATTCTCAGGCCTTTGGGCTCGAACTGGAATTTATACCACCAGCTTTCCTGAGTCTCCAGCTTGCAGATGGCAAGATCATGGGACTTCTCTGCCTGCATAAACACATAAGTAAATTCCTCCTCATAAATCTCTTTATATATATTCTTCCATTGGTTCTGTTTCTCTGGAGAACCCTGACTAATATAGAACCCTGACTAATACAATCCAAACAGTAGAACTTCTGTACTAAAGCCAGAGAAGAATGTGGAACCCTTGGAACAGGTCAGAAAACACTTTCAGGGGACAGAACAGAATTCTTAATCTGACCAAGTGTTCTTTGGATGTGGCCTCTTCAAAAGGGAAAACCCCTAGCACAGTCACTATGGAAAACAGTATGGAGACCCCTCAAAAAACTAAAACTGCAACTTCCATATGATCCAGCAATCTGAGTATATATCCAAAAGAAACGAAATCAGTATATCAAACAGATATCTGCACTCCCATGACTATTGCAGCACTATTCACAATAGCTGAAGTATGGATGAACTCAATCTAAGTGTCATCAATGGATGGATGATAAAGAAAATGTGTTGGCCAGGTGCAGTGGCTCATGCCTCTAATCCCAGCACTTTGGGAGGCCGAGGTGGGCGGATTACCTGAGGTCAGGAGTTCAAGACCGGCCTGACCAACATGATGAAACCCCATCTCTACTAAATAAAAAAATTAGCCGGGCGTGGTGGTACATGCCTGTAATCCCCAGCTACTTGGGAGGCTGAAGCAGGAGAATTGCTTGAACCCAGGAAGCAGAGGGGCTGGACATGGTGGCTCATGCCTGTAATCCCAGCACTTTGGAAGGCTGAGGCAGGCAGATTGAGCCCAGGAGTTCAAGACCAGCCTGGGCAACATGGTGAACCCCCATATCTACAAAAAATACAAAAAAAAAAATTAGCTGAGGATGGTGGTAAATGCCTGTAGTCCCATCTACCCAGGAGGTTGAGGTGGGAGGATCACCTGACCCAGGGAGGTCCAGGCTGCAGTGAACTGTGATGTCACCACTGCAATCCAGAGCAAGACCCTGTCTCAAAAAAAAAAATTTAAAAAAAGAAGAAAAAAATGTGCTGTATATACCCAGTGAAATACTATTCAGCTATTTCAGAATGAAATCCTGTCATTTGCAGCAACATGGATGGAACTGGAGGTCATTATGTTAAGTGAAATAAACTGGCACAGAAAGGCAAACATCGCATGTTCTCACTCATGTGGGAACTAAAAAATTTGGTCTTATGGAGGTAGTGAATAGAATGGTGGTTACCACAAGTTGGGGAGGATAGTGGGGATGAAGGATGAAGAGGGATTGGTTAATGGGTGCAAAAATACAGTTAGATAGGGCGAGTATAGTTAATAACTTATTGTATATTTCAAAATAGCTAGAAGATTCAGAATGTGCCCAACACAAAGAAATCACAAATATTTGAGGTGATGGATATACCAGTTCCCCAGATTTGATCATTATACATTTTATGCTTGTATCAAAATGTCACATGTACCTCATGCATATGTACAACTATTATGTATCAGTAAAATTTTTTTAAAGGGAAAATCCCATAAAGAGGTGGTTTAACCAAGGGACAAGCTGGCCTCAGAGAATAGATGCTGCTTAGCACCCACTGTAAGATTTTCCTAAAATGGCCCTGGCTGCAGGATGCTGTCCATCCAAAACATAGTGCTGAGTCATTCCTTCATCTTGTATTTATTATACGCCTCCTTAAGAGCATTCGGTGGCCCCTCATTGCCTCAAGAATAAAGTCCAAACACTTTGGAAAGACACAGCCAAACCCCTGTGATCCAGCGCCCACATCCCCTCTCTGGTTTTATCTATTTTCCTTCATGCTTCCTATGTACCAGTCCCAGGGCTACGCACCACATTCTCCAAATGTGCCATGTACTCTCTCACCTCAAGCCTTCCACCTAGGGAGTTCCTTCACTCTGAGTGCCCTCTCCTTTGCCATCATCCCTACCCACCTGAGCCCCACATAACCAGCACTCAATATATTCCTTTTTTTTGAGACAGGGTCTCCCTCTGTGACCCAGTGCAATCTCAGCTCACTGTATGCAACCTCCACATCCCAGGCTCAGGTGATCCTCCCACCTCAGCCTCCTGAGTAGCTGTAACTATAAGTGTGCACCACAATGCCCGGCTAATTTTTATATTTTTAGTAGAGACGGGGTTTCTCCATGTTGTCCAGCCTCGTCTTGAACTCCTGGGCCCAAGCCATCTGCCTACCTCAGCCTCCCAAATAAATTAATTCATATTTGTATATGTCTCTGTCACTGAACTGTAAGCTCCTAGTGCAAATAAACTTTTTTTCCACTGGGAAACTTTCTTTCCACTAGGAAAAAATGTTTTCCTAGCACAGGGCAAGAAGTTTTCCTAGCACCGGGCACAGTGGCTCATCCTTCTAATACCAGCACTTTGGGAGGCTGAGGCAGGAGGATCGCTTTAGCCCAGGAGTTTGAGAGCAGCCTAGGCAAAATAACAAGACCTCATCTCTACGAGAAAAAAAAAATTAGCTGGGCATGGTGGCGTGTGCCTGTAGTCCCAGCTACTCGGGAGACTAGGGTGGCAGAATTGCTTGAGTCCAGAAGGTTGAGGCTGCAGTGAGCTATGATCGCTCCACTGCACTCCTGCCTGGGAGACAGAGTGAAACCCTGTCTCAAAAACAAACAACAACAACAACAAAAAGGCTGGGCACGGTGGCTCACCCCTGTAATCCCAACACTTTGGGAGGCCGAGGCTGGCGGATCACGAGGTCAGGAGTTCGAGACAAACTGGACAACATGGTGAAACCTTGTCTCTACTAAAAACACAAAAATTTGCCGGGTGCGGTGGCAGGCACCTGTAATCCCAGCTACTCGGGAGGCCGAGGCAGGAGAATTGCTTGAACTCAGGAGGCGGAAGTTGCAGTGAGCCAATATTGCGCTACTGCACTCCAGCCTGGGTGACAGAGCAAGACTCCATCTCAGAAAACAAACAAAAAAACCCCACAAGTTTCTCATTTATCTCCATAACCCAACACATACATTTATTTGTTTAACAAATATATTTTGAATTAAATGCCTGCTATGTAAAGGGACTGTGCTAGGTATTGGGGATACAAAAATGAATACAACAAACTTATAAGCCTTCGAAGACTTTCGTATTTAGTGGAGGAAACTGACAGCCTCGCCCTTAATAGTCAGAATGCATAAGAGAATGTAACTACTGCAAAAGAGGTAGAGAAAAGTGCTCTGCCATTCAGAGGAGAGAGGGCATTTGGGTAAGGATACCAAAAAAGGCTTCCTGGAAGAGGTAGCATCTGAGCTGCAGCTAGAAGAGGATTTTAATTGGTAAAGATCAGGGGCTGAGAAAGCAGAGAACAAAGCATGAATAAAATGCACAGGGGCAGGAAAATACATGGTGAGTCTGGTTAATCTTTAGCCTTAAATGCCAGGCTAAGAAATTTGGGGGAGACAGGGTATGCTGGCTGACATTTGTTTTTTTTTGTTTTTTTTGTTTTTTGAGACAGAGTCTCACTCTGTCGCCCAGGCTGGAGTGCAGTGGCGCAATCTCGGCTCACTGCAAGCTCCGCCTCCGGGGTTCACGCCATTCTCCTGTCTCAGCCTCCCGAGTAGGTGGGACTACAGGCGCCTGCCACCGCGCCCGGCTAATTTTTTGTATTTTTAGTAGAGACGGGGTTTCACCGTGTTAGCCAGGATGGTCTCGATCTCCTGACCTTATGATCCGCCCCCCTCGGCCTCCCAGAGTGCTGGGATTACAGGCGTGAGCCACCGCGCCCGGCCAACACTTGTTTTTTTGTTCTTGTTTGTTTGGTTGGTTGGTTGATTGTTTTTGAGATGGAGTCTCGCTCTGTTGCCAGGCCAGAGTGCAGAGGCGCGATCTCCGCTCACTGCAAGCTCCGCCTTCCGGGTTCAAGCTATTCTCCTGCCTCAGACTCCCGAGTAGCTGGGACTACAGGCGCGCACCATTACACACAGCTAATTTTTTCGTATTTTTAGTAGAGACGAGGTTTCACCATGTTGGCCAGGATGGTCTCGATCTTCTGACCTCGTGATCCACCCAGATCTGTCTCCCAAAATGCTGGGATTACAGGCGTGAGCCACTGTGCCCAGCCCGTGGCCGACACTTGTAATCCTAGGACTTTGGGAGCCTGAAGCAGGAGGATTGCTTGAGCCCAGGAGATTGAGGCTGCAGTAAGTCATGCTTACACCACTGAACTCCAGCCTGGGCAACAGAGTAAGGAAAGGAAGGCACCAGGATTTTTTTTAGTAATACACAACATACAGATCTACAACATGTACAGACCATATACAGCTCCAACCACATGTGTTCAGAACATACACTTCTCATACAACCCTAGACAGCCCCACAGTCCCTTCAAACCCTCACTGACAGCCTGACTCTTTTTTTTACCTTTTCTGTGGTTGCAAAACTGATGGCTTTCCTGAGTTGCAGGGCCCAAGATGCAGACAACCTCATCAGTCTCTGTTCCTGAGATACCAGGGCCTACTATGTACGTACCAAAGTAGAGGCTCCTCTCTTTGGCATGAGAGCAGGCACCTGCTCCTGAGAAACTCCTTCATGTCCCTCTCCTCATCCCAAGCCCCATCTGTCTCTCAGATGACAGGAATGGATGCCAGAAGACTCCACCCTGACTGTTCAGGTTCTCCTGGGTGACAACCCCTGGTCCCCTAATGCCTGTCTCCTCCTCCTCACCCGCTCCTCCTCCAGGCAAGGCTCATCCTCAGGCACAAGATGCTGCCTGCATTTCCTCTTTTGGCTTGGACCATCATTCCCTCCAGAATTCATTCCTCACACTGTTCCCTAATAAAATCCATCTCAAAAACTCTAGATTCCTTCCCAGCCACTTCCTAACCCAGGAAATAAGTAGCAGCTGTGTCCTTTCTCTCCCTCTTTCCCTGGCTGGGATTTGGGCCTCAAGCTTCCCATCCCACTGAGAAGTTCCAGAGCAAAGACTGTCACCAGAATTTAAGTGACTTCCAAACCCAGGGCCCCCAAAATCAGTGCTGCAGAGGGAGTCCCAAGGCCCCTTCAAGCCAGACAGTCACCAGTGGCACCCACAAGCAGAAACTGTCTGTTGTCTAATCACAGCAGGGGAGGACCATGAAAAGTTGTGATAGCCTTTCCCTCTGACACCTTGGGTGGCAAGGACAGTGATGGGCATGGCGGGACAGAGACGACGGGGCAGCTGATGGATAGGGGACACTGGCCTGGGGGTCAGGAAACATGTATTCTTACCCCAGCTATGTCATGGACACCTGGGTAACATTGTGGCAGTTGCATTCCCTCTGTAGCCTCAGCACCCTTGACTGCAAACATAAAAGGATCTCTCTTGGCCGGGTGCGGTGGCTCATGCCTGTAATCCCAGCACTTTGGGAGGCCGAGGCAGGTGGATCGCTTGAGGTCAGGAGTTCAAGACCAGCCTGGCCAACATGGCGGAATGTCATCTCTACTAAAAATACAAAAATTAGCCGGGCTCTATAGTGGGCTCTTGTGATGCTAGCTACTCAGGAGGCTGAGGTACGAGCATCGAACCCAGGAGGCGGAGGTTGCAGTGAGCCCAGACAGCGCCACTGCACTCCAGCCTGAGCGACAGAGCGAGACTCCATCTCAAAAAGAAAAAAAAGGGCCTCTTTCTTCCAGCTGTAATGTCCAAGGAGGCTCTGCGGTAGTGAGTCCAGCTTCCACACAACACACCTTCATTTTTACAATGCTCAGGACTCAGAGGCAAAGCGCTCCCCATTTTGGGAAGTGATCAGGACTGCTCCTGAGATAAGGGAGAAATGCCTATGGCGACAGGAAACCTATGCCTGCCATCCTCTTGTCCCCCATATTAGTTCCAAAACAGGATCCCAAATGCCCAGTACACTGGTGGGTGTTTGTTAAATTTGTTAACAAAAACTATCTTGGCCAGGCGCGGTGGCTCACGCCTATAATCCCAGCACTTTGGGAGGCCGAGGCCGGGGGATCACGAGGTCAGGAGATTGAGACTATCCTGGCTAACAGGGTGAAACCCCGTCTCTACTAAAAATAATAATAATTTAAAAAATTAGCCGGGCGTGGTGGCGGGCGCCTGTAATCCCAGCTACTCGGAAGGCTGAGGCAGGAGAATGGCGTGAACCTGAGAAGAGGAGCTTGCAGTGAGCCGAGATCGTGCCACTGCACTCCAGCCTGGGCGACAGAGCAAGACTCTGTCTCAAAAAAAAAAAAAACTATCTTGGGCCTGGCGCAATGGCTCACGCCTATAATTCCAGCACTTTGGGAGGCCGAGGCGGGTGGATCACTTGAGGTCAGGCATTCAAGACCAGCCTGGCCAACATGGAGAAACCCTGTTTCTACTAAAATACAAAAATTAGGTGGGTGTGGTGGTGGGCTCCTGTAATCCCAGCTATTCAGGAGGCTGAGGCAGGAGAATCGCTTGAACCTGGGAGGCAGAGGTTGCAGTGAGCCGAGATCATGCCACTGTACTACACCCTGGGCAAGACAGAGCGAGACTCCTTCCCAATAAAAAACAAACAAACAAACAAACAAACAAAACAAAACAAAACAAAAAAACTTGGCGGGGCGTGGTGGCTCATGCATGTAATCCAGCACTTTGGGAAGCTGAGGCAGGTGGATCATGAGGTCAGGCATTCAAGACCAGCCTGGCCAACATGGCGAAGCTTCGACTCTACTAAAAAATACAAAAATTAGCCAGGCGTGGTGGCGGGTGCCTGTAGTCCCAGCTACTCGGGAGGCTGAGACAGGAGAATTGCTTGAACCTGGGAGGCAGAGGTTGCAGTGAGCAAAGATCGTGCCACTGCACTACAGCCTGGGTGACAGAGCAAGACTCTGTCTCAAAAAAAAAAAAAAATATATATATATATATATATATATCTCTTGTCCCAACACAGTGGCTTATGCCTGTAATTCCAACACTTTAGCAGGCCTAGATGGGAGGATTATTTGAAACCAGGAGTTCAAGACCAGCCTGGGCAACACAGTAAGACCTTGTCCCTACAAAAAATTTTAAAAATTAGGTTCTGCTGGACAAGGGGGCTCTCTGCCCTGTTCTTTGAGCCTGCTCAGAGGACACTGCCCTGAAAAGGCAGCCCTACTCATTTCTGTAGGGTGCTAGAAGGGAAGCCTGAGATTCTCTTATGAGGAGTCAAAGAAAACTCCTCAGATGCTCAGGAGGGAGCTCAGGCTGTGGGGGGCCGGTGCCGATGTGGAGAAGGCTTCTTCTGTGGCCAGATAAAGGACATCAGGTCCTTCCCTTGCGTGTAGCTGTGGTGGCTTTCACAAGCATTCTCTCAGGGTGTTTTCACCCTGACCAGAAGAGGAAAGCAGGAGCTTTAATATTTAACTGGTGATATTGCCAAAACACAAAACATTGAATTGCTCCAGGCCACACAGCGGGAAAGTGGCCAAGTGGATTTCAAACTCACCACTCTGTACCTCTGACTTCCTGTCTCACAGTCTGGGAGGATAGTAAGCAAGTACTTAGCCCTTTGCTTCCTGGATTTCAAAGGGCAAAAGTAATAAATACTCCCTAGCTCCCTCCCCTGCCCAAGGCTACAGGAAGGTCCAGACAGCTCCTCTGGCTCACAGGGCTACTTCAGGGCTTTATCTAATTAGCCTCCCTCTCCCTGGTGCTGCATTAGCCTTGCATGGCCCTTGGGTGTACAAGGCCGAGCTCTGCCTTTTGTACAAACACACTTGCAGCGTCAGGCTCTCTCAAAGGACAGTTTCACTGAGCTCATACTCCAGTTTTAGCCACAGAAGGGATGAAAGCCTCAGAGAAATCCTCATAGCCTTGGTCTTCCTTTACCCACTGAATCAGAGGGAGATCACCAGCCCCTGACACCTGCCCCTGCCTCACTTATGCTGCAGGGCCTCTCAGTAACCCTGCCTAGCCCACAGGGCAGACATTAGTCACACAGTGGAGACTTCGTGCTCAGAGAAGAGACGGGAAGTTTTCTTGGTCCGCCCTAGTGTTTCAGTGGTGGTGACTCAGGGCCTAGAACTTCCCAAGCACCCTAGAGGTTTCTTCTCTGCACCATGTACCATGACCTTCACAACATGCCTGGCACTGTGGGTGTGGTTCTCCCTCTAGTCTCTGACTCCTGGGTTTTTTCCACTGTACCAGAGCTTCTTCCAACAGCCCTTGCTTGGAGTTGACAGCTCTGTAGCTTGGCCTCACTCTGCAGGAGGCCACACCCCAGCTTTTAAAGCTACAGCGTCGGCTGAAGGCTACCTCAGTGGAGAGCTCCCAGCCTCAGCTTCCTCTCCAGTTGTCTTTTGGCTGCAAACTCATGATGTCACAGACAACCCCGACCCGACCCCCACCACAAGCTGGTTTTCAAGCACCCAAATTCCTCCCCTTTCCTCAGGAAGGCTGCCTGTCAACCACAGATGGGTATAGGCTGTGCCAGCATCTCCATGGTAACCATGGGCCGCAGCTTCCTGCCTTGATCCAGAGCTTGCACCCGTGGCAGGGCTCCCTTGCAAGGAGGGCTGGCTGTCACAGTAGGCCCATTACACATCTCACTATCATCCTCGCATGGGGACAGCTTAGGGAGGCAGCACAGCTCAGGAGTTCTTTGAGGAAGGTCTGAAAGGGGGCAGACTGGGAAGGCTCTCCCTTCTTTGTGGAATCGATTCTTCACGGTAGGCTGTGGGGTTCCAGTGTTAACACTTTTTCAGGGCATGGGTGAAAGTTGAAAATGTGAGTTTGTGAGTTGGCTTTAGACTTTGCTCTCTTGGGGGGTACAGGAGAGAGACTGCAATTGATTAGGCAATAATTCCAGTTCCTTGCCACCCCTAACTCCATAAAATGTCCCCTGGGGCAGTTGAGGAGCTCTCAACTAGGGGGGCTGTTTATCCATGTGGAATCAAAGACTCCAGAGTGAGACGGGGGCCAGCGAGGGCCAACAAGAGGAGAGCCAACCTGAAATGCACCCTTTTGAGGACTGAGGAGGTATCTTCTGAGAGATTCTGTTTCCAGGAGAAAAGCAAACCAGAATACAAACTGCAGCTGCTGCTGTTCCTCCTGCTTCTCATCTCCGTCCTCTAAGCACATCTCCTCTGCTTCCAACCGCAGTACTAGGAGGCAGGGCATGGGAGTGAGCCTGAAACTCATTGTAGCAGACCAAAGCTCACAGCCTTCCCTGACCCCTGCGTATTTGTTTTTTTGTTTTTTTTTTTCTGAGATGGAGTCTCACTCTGTTGCCCAGGCTGGAGTGCAGTGGTGTGATCTCGGCTCACTGCAACTTCTGCCTCCTGGGTTCAAGCAATCCTCCCACCTCAGCCTCCAGAGTAGCTGGGACTACAGGCGCATGCCACCATGCCCTGCTAATTTTTTTTTTTTTTTTGAGACGGATTCTCGCTCTGTCGCCCAGGCTGGAGTGCAGTGGTGCGATCTCGGCTCACTGCAAGCTCCGCCTCCCAGGTTCACACCATTCTCCTGCCTCAGCCTCCCGAGTAGCTGGAACTACAGGCGCCCACCACCAAGCCCAGCTAATTGTTTTGTATTTTTATTAGAGACGGGGTTTCACTGTGTTAGCCAGGATGGTCTCAATCTCCTGACCTCGTGATCCCCCCTGCCTCGGCTTCCCAAAGTGCTGGGATTACAGGCGTGAGCCACGGCGCCCAGCCAACACACCCTGCTAATTTTTGTATGTTTTTGTAGAGACGGGGTTTCACCATGTTGGCCAGGCTGCTCTCAAACGCCTGAGCTCAAGTGATCCGCCCTCCTTGGCCTCCCAAAGTGCTGGGATTACAGGCGTGAGCCACCGCGCCCAGCCTTGCATAATCGTTCTTTTCATGTTCAACTTCTTTTCCAAATCTCCTTGGAGGGCAGTTAGGTGTTTGCACTTCTGTGATATATAATCAAGAATACCAGTGGGCGCGGTGGCTCACACCTGTAATCCCAGCACTTTGGGAGGCTAAGGTGGGTGGATCACCTGAGGTCAGGAGTTCGAGACCAGCCTGACCAACATGGAGAAACCCTGTCTCTACTAAAAATACGAGATCAGCTGGTCATGGTGGTGCATGCCTGTAATCCCAGCTACTCGGGAGGCCAAAGCAGGAGAATAGCTTGAACCCGGGAGGCGGAGGTTGCAGTGAGCCGAGATCACACCATTGCACTCCAGCCTGGGCAACAAGAGCAAAACTCTGTCTCAAAAAAAAAAAAAAAAAAAAAAAAAGAATCATGTTAGCTGGGCACAGTGGCTCATGCCTGTAATCCCAGCACTTTGGGAGGCCAAGGCGGGCAGATCACTTGAGGCCAGGAGTTCGAGACCAGCCTGGCCAACATGGTGAAACCTTGTCTCTACTAAAAATACAAACATTAGCCAGGCATGGTGGCGGGCACCTGTAATCTCAGCTACTTGGGAGGCTGAGGCAGGGGAATTGCTTGAACCTGGGGGAGATGAAGGTTGCAGTGAGCCGAGATTGCGCTACTGCACTCCAGACTGGGCAACAGAGTCCCTGTCTCAAAAAAAAGAATACCATGTTGGGGAAGACTGTATAGAATGACAGCAGGGAGAAGAATTTGGGTCCTTAGGCTGTTAATCTAATAAAGAGAGAGAGAGAACACCTCAAAGGAATTTGGGGGGCACTGAGGGTGGGAGAGTTGAAGAGATGCCTTAACTTCTGTGGACTGTGATCAGAGTGAACTGTAGAGGAATGAGGCCTCTAGCTATTCTCATTTAGTGCTGTTGTAGACATCATTGGAATCTCCACTATCACTTGGCCAAATGTGAAGCTAAGGATTTGAGCTATTTTGGAATTACTTTTCTTTTTCTTCCTTTTTTTTTTTTTTTTTTTCCTGAGATAGGGTCTTGCTCTGTTACCCAGGCTGGAATATAGTAGCATGATCATAGCTCACTGCAGCCCTGAACTCCTGGGCTCAAGCAATACGCCATGCTCAGCCTTCTGAGTAGCTGGGACTTCAGGCGTGTGCTACCACGCCTGGCTAATTTTTAAATTTTTATGTAAAAATGAGGTCTTGCTATGTTGCCCAGTATGGTCTTGAACTCCTGGGCTCAAGTGATCCTCTTGCCTTGGCTTCCCAAAGCATTGGGATTATAGGCATGAGCCAGTAAGCCTGGCCTGAAATTACTTTGGATTGCTGACAGGTGCTTCTTAGACAGTGCTGGGAGACAAAACCTCATGGTTCCAGACTTTGTGAGAATTGCAATAATAATTACTCCTATATTTAATTAGTTAATTAATTTATTTATTAGGTCGAGTCTCACTCTGTTGCCCAGGCTGGAGTGCAGTGGCATGATCTCAGCGTGCTGCAACCTCTGCCTCCTGGGTTCAAGCAATTTTTATCCCTCAGCCTCCCGAGTAGTATGGACTACAGGTGTGCACCACTACGCCTGGCTAATTTTTGTATTTTTAGTAGAGGCAGGGTTTCATCATGTTGGCCAGGCTGGTCTCAAACTCCTGACATCAGGTGATTTGCCTGCCTTGGCCTCCCAAAGTGCTGGGATTACAGGCGTGAACCACCGAGGCTGGCCATTATTTATTTATTTTTATGAGACAGAGTCTTGCTCTGTCGCTCAGGCTGGAGTTCAGTGGTGTGATCTTGACTCACTGCAACCTCTGCCTCCTGGGTTCAAGCGATTCTCCTGCTTCGGCCTCCTGAGTAGCTGGGATTACAGTTGCATGCCACCATGCCCAGCTAATTTTTTATTTTTAGTAGAGATGGGGTTTCACCATGTTGGCCAAGGCTGGTCTTGAACTCCTGACCTCAAGTGATCCACCCACTTCGGCCTCCCAGAGTGCTGGTATTATAGGTGTGAGCCACCGCGTCCAGCCTTAATATGTACTAAATCCTACAAATTCATTATCTAATTTAATCCTCACAATTACACATTTTAACAGAAACAGAAACTGAGTCTTAGGGAGGTAAAGTAACATGCCTAAAGTCACTTGGGCATATGTGCTGGAGCCAGGCCTCAAAGAAAATGAAATCCAGAGGCTGGGTGTGCCGGCTCACGCCAAAGTATATCCCAAAGTATATCCCAGCACTTTGGGAGACCGAGGCGGTGGATCATATGAGGTAGGGAGTTCAAGACCAGCCTGGCCCACATGGTGAAACCACGTCTCTACTAAAAATACAAAAATTAGCCGGGCGTGATGGCATGTGCCTGTAATCCCAGCTACTCAGGAGGCTGAGGCAGGAGAATTGCTTGAACCTGGGAGGCAGAGGTTGCAGTGAGCTGAGATCGTGCCACTGCACTCCAGTCTGGGCCACAGAGCGAGACTCCGTCTCAAAAAAAAAGAAAATGAAATCCAAGTAGCAGCTTGAGATCCAGGTAGCAGCTTAGCAGCTGGGTAGGCTCCCTGCATGGAGACCAGGAACTGCCATTACCTCTAAGAGCAGAGAAAACAGGGTGTTCCTCTCAGTAAGCTCCCAAGAAAATTGCCAGGCCATGCTGAAGAGGGTTCTTACTGATCTGATGAAGCAGAAAATCAAAGAGATTTACATGAGGCGTTGTGGCTCGGAGGCTGCTCCCTCACAAATCTGAGCACCAGGAATGTGCTGGAGCCCAGGTGACCATCTGTAGCAGCTCCTGCCAGCCTGTTTCTGTGCTGCTTTGTTAAGTCCCAGAGGCAGGGGATGGGGAAACACAGAGAGAGTGACTCTCTCTGAGGAAGCCCTATTTTTCTTTTCTTTTCTTTTTTCTTTTTTTTTTTTTGAGACAAAGTCTCACTCTTGTCCGCCAGGCTGGAGTGCAATGGCACGATCTTGGCTCACTGCAACCTCCACCTCCAAGGTTCAAGTGATTCTCCTGCCTCCGCCTCCTGAGTAGCTGGGATTACAGGCACCTGCCACTATGCCCAGCTAATTTTTGTATTTTTAGTAGAGACGGGGTTTCACCATGTTGGCCAGGCTGGTCTCAAACTCCTGACCTCAGGTGATCTACCCACCTCGGCCTCCCGAAGTGCTGGGATTACAGGCGTGAGCCACTGTGCCTGGCCTAGGAAGCCCTATTTTTCTATCTTTCTGCGCAGGCCTTTCAGAAAATTGACATCTCCCTCCTACTTGCACCACTTGGAGAGAAGCTCTTCACCTCTCCTAGGGACATGGAGGTGCAGAAAGCAGGGCCTCCAGCTGCTCTGCATTGTCCTCCAGCAAGAAGGTCCCAGACAGTAATCATTGTGCAGTGGGAACCTCAGGTTTGGGAGCCACACAGACCTGGGTTCAAATCCTGACTCTGTTCCTACTGCCTGAATGCTTCTGGACAAGTCACTTAACCTTTTGAAGCCTTAAGTGTCTGTGACATAAAAAAAAATGATAGCCCCCATGTGAAAGGTTTAATGCAAACAAAAGTACTTGGCACAGGGTGATTGCCCAATAAACCATATTCCTATTGCAGGAAAATGACTTGGGAAGAGGCGAGTTTGTGGTTCCTGTTCTGACAGTTTGTTTCATCTATTTTGGACTGTAATTTTTTTTTTTTTTTTTGAGACAGAGTCTCGCTCTCTCCCCCAGGGTGGAGTGCAGTGGCGTGGCATGATTTCAGCTCACTGCAACTTTCATCTTTTGGGTTCAAGCAATTCTCCTGCCTCAGCCTCCTGAGTAGCTGACACTACAGGCATGCGCCACTGCACCCAGCTAATTTTTGTATTTTTAGTAGAGACAGAGTTTCTTTCCTTTTTCTTTTTTTTTTGAGATGAAGTTTCACTCTTATTGCCCAGTCTGGAGTATAATGGCGCGATCTAGGCTCACTGCAACTTCTGCCTCCTGGGTTCAAGCAGTTCTCCTGCCTCAGCCTCCCAAGTAGCTGGGATTACAGGCGCCCACCACCACGTCCAGCTAATTTTTTGTATTTTTAGTAGAGATGGGGTTTCACCATGTTGGCCAGGCTGGTCTTGAACTCCTGACCTCAAGTGATCCACCTGACTTGGCCTTTCAAAGTGCTGGGATTACAGGCGTGAGTCACCATGCCTGGCCCATTTTGGACTGTAACTGATTCTTAGAATCCTTTTTGGTCCTTGCCCAATTCTATCTTTGACCCCTTGCTCAGATAAAGGCTGCTCTAAAACTTGTTCCCCTGCTTTTGTTTTCCCCCGAAAATTAGAGATGGGGGGGCAGGGAACACTATGTTGCCCAGGCTGGTCTTGAACACCTGGCCTCAAGCAATCCTCCCACGTTGGCCTCCCAAAGTGCTGGGATTACAGGCATGTGAGCCGCCATGCCCATCCCTCCACTGCTTTTTAAAAGAGAAACACCTTATTACTTAGGACTAATGTCAGTTGTATATACAAGATTGGGCTGGCTACCAGTTTCCCAGTTTTTTATGGTGTGTCTAGGATGTAAAGCACATGAATGTTTCTGGTCATTGTCAAACACTGGATTGTCTCTGCCCCTTGCATGGATTCAGAAAGCCAGCCCCTGCCCAGGAGGCTCTGGCCTCCTTCAGTTTTGTTTTCCTCACAGGTTGGAAAGAGGCAGCCATATAATTGACCAGACAGCAGCAGAGTGAGCCACATGTCTCTGGGGGAACTGGCCTGCTCAGGACAGCTCTTTGCTTTGGCCTCACACTGCCCTGGGTTTAACTGGCTCTGCCACTCATTGTGAGAACATGGGCAAGTTTCTTGATCTCATGGGGCCTCAGTAGAATAGGGGTAATACTGTTCCTTTTTCTTTTTTTTTGAGATGGAGTTTTGCTCTTGTTGCCAAGGCTGGAGTGCAATGGCACGATCTTTGCTCACTGCAGCCTCTGCCTCCCAGGTTCAAGTGGTTCTCCCGCCTCAGCCTCTGGAGTAGCTTGGATTACAGGTGCCCACCACCACGCCTGGCTAATTTTTTGTATTTTTAGTAGACACTGGGTTTTGGCATGTTGGCCAGGCTGGTCTCAAAATCCTGGCCTCAGGTGATCTGCCCACCTCAGCCTCCCAAAGTGCTGGGATTACAGGTGTGAGCCACCGCACCCAGACGGTAATACCATTGTCATAGGTTGTCATAAGCTTTAAATGTAAAGCTCCAGGCCGGGCACGGTGGCTCACGCCTGTAATCCCAGCACTTTGGGAGGCTGAGGCGGGCGGATCACAAGGTCAGGAGATTGTAGACCATCCTGGCTAACACAGTGAAATCCCGTCTCTACTAAAAATACAAAAAATTAGCTGGGTATTGTGGCACGCACCTGTAATCCCAGCTACTCCGGAGGCTGAGGCAGGAGAATCACTTGAACCTGGGAGGTGGAGGTTGCAGTGAGCTGAGATCGTTTCACTGTACTCCAGCCTGGGTGACAGAGCAAGATTCCGTCTCAAAAAAAAAAGTAAAGTTCCAGTGCTCAGTAGGTACTCAATAAATATTAATTCTCTTTTCTATCCCTTTTGGGCAATTTGCAATGTGGAACTGAAGATGCTTCCTGGGAAGCTCCCAGGAGCCCAACCTAAGAAGAGGGGAAGGCCCAGAGGAGCCAGGAGCGAGATCTTTGACACTACCTGCTTCCCCACCTGCTGCTGCCTTGTCTGGGCTGGAGCTGTGCTAAGAGCAGTTCTAGGACAGATGAGGAGACAACTGTTCTGCCCGGGGCTAAGGACTGAACCCTCCAGGTAGCTGTCAATTACCAGCCCTCCCATTTTCTCAGCCTGTGTCTCAGAGCAAGGTGCAAAGGAAGGGAGGTCCCTGGGGAGTGTAAATGTAGCTCTAAGAGGGAGGCCACTGAAGTTGCTATTCTAGTCCACACCATTTGTAGGCAGCCTCTTGCAACCAGCAAGCTGTTTATTCCACAAAAACAAACAGTGATTTCTGGGGAAGTGAAGACTGCACTGTACAGGTTCCACTCCAGTCTGGGGATTAGGGGAGGCAGAAGAGCACAAGTCCTGGGGCTATTTTGGAAGGAAATTGGCTTCTAAAATCTCTTTTCTGGATTAGTAGTACTAGCTACCTGCAGGATTAGTGTTTATCATATTGTAGTCACCGTCACAATGCTTGCCTTTCCTGAATAGCACCTATACTATCATTTATTTAGCACTTTTCTTTAAATTGACTATTTTACTTAGACTTATCCTTAGCAAAATATGGGCCTGACATGCCAATTACCTTTCTTATTTTTCTTTTCTTTTCTTTTTTTTTTTTTTTTGAGACAGAGTCTCGCTCTCTCCCCCAGGGTGGAGTGCAGTGGCGTGGCATGATTTCAGCTCACTGCAACTTTCATCTTTTGGGTTCAAGCAATTCTCCTGCCTCAGCCTCGTGAGTAGCTGGGACTACAGGCGCCTGCCACCACAATCGGCCAATTTTTTGTATTTTTTTTAGTAGAGATGGGGTTTCACTGTGTTGGCCAGGCTGATCTCAAACTCCTGACCTCGTGATCTGCCCACCTCGACCTCCTAAAGTGCTGGGATTACAGGCGTGAGCCACCGCACCTGGGTTTTTTTTTTTTTGGAGATGG
Organism: Homo sapiens; assembly: GCF_000001405.40. Taxonomy (NCBI): domain Eukaryota; kingdom Metazoa; phylum Chordata; class Mammalia; order Primates; family Hominidae; genus Homo; species Homo sapiens. The sequence goes on along the minus strand of NW_021160006.1, from coordinate 126,966 downwards.
GGATCTTGCTGTGTTGCCCAGGCTGGACCACAGTGACTGACTATTCACAGGTGCGATCATAATGCACTATAGCTGTGAACTCCTGCCTCAGCCTCCCAGGTAGCTGGCACTACAAGTGTGTGCCACTGTGTCTGGCTAATGCCAGTTATGTTTAAAAACACATATACATTAAAATATATAAGTTTTACAATTAAAAAAAGTTAATTCATCTGAAATTTACTCTCTCAACCTCCTGGAGGTGTGCTAACCACACTTTAGAAAACAATGGGTTAGGCTGGGCGCAGTGACTCATGTCTGTAATTCCAGCACTTTGGGAGGCCGAGGCAGGAAAAATGTTTGAGCCCAGGAGTTCGAGACAAGCCTGGGCAACATGGTGAGACCCCATCTCCACAGAAATTAAAAAATTACCAGCCGGGAGTGGTGGCTCACGCCTGTAATCCCAGCATTTTGGGAGGCCGAGGCGGGTGGATCACGAGGTCAGGAGATAGAGGCCATCCTGGCTAACACGGTGAAACCCCGTCTCTACTAAAAAAATACAAAAAATTTGCCGGGCGTGGTGGTGGGTGCCTGTAGTCCCAGCTACTCAGGAGGCTGAGGCAGGAGAATGGCGTGAACCCGGGAGGCGGAGCTTGCAGTGAGCCGAGATTGTGCCGCTGCACTCCAGCCTGGGTGACAGAGCGAGACTCCGTCTCAAAAAAAAAAAAAAAAAAATTACCAGCCTGGCCAACATAGTGAAATCTCATCTCTAGTAAAAATACAAAATATTAGCCAGGCATGGTGGCAGGCGCCTGTAATCCCAGCTACTCGGGAGGCTGAGGCAGGAGAATTGCTTGAACCTGGGAGGCGGAGGTTGCAGTGAGCTGAAATCGTGCCATTGCACTCCAGCCAGAGCGACAGTGCAAGTCTCAAAAAAAAAAAAAAAAAACAACAAAACTAGCTGGGCATGGTGTCATGTGCCTGTGGTCTCAGTTACTTGGGAGACTGAGGCAAGGAGGATCACCTGATCTCCAGTCAGCCAGGTTTGCCCCACTGCACTCCAGCCTGGGCGACAGAGTAAAACCCTATCTCAAAAAAAAAATTTTTTTTAAAAAGAAAAAACACTGGGCTAATGAAGAACTTGGTAGTGGAATGACAGTGACATGCTCACGCGGAAACTTTGGCTTGGTATATCACAAGGCACTGTGACTAGCTAATAAGAGGATGGAGAACATCAGTTTACAGCAACCATCTTATGGGGCTTTCAGTCATGAAATGGTGAGCATGCGCCTAAACACAAAAATAAAACATTACCAAAACTCAATGCTAGTGGACCTCTGGTTAAACATGATGAATTGACCTGATACATTTATCTTAACTCCTTCCTCAAGCCCCACTAAAGTGATAGGAAAATAACACACAAAAATGAAGGGACTGGAAGATGAGAAGTCTGCCAGCAATGCTTTGGAAAGTAGAAATCAGTGGAGACTGAGACCATAGTGAAATTCAAGTGCCCACACAGGGAGGGAGTGAAGAGATGGAAGCTGATTTGCTCTGAAGAGCACTGTTCAGTCTCAGGAATTGGAGGTACCAGGTACCATGGAAGGGAAGGGTAAAGTGTGGGGCTGTAACAGGGGCTATAAGGAAATGCTAGGCTCTCAGACTTCTATTCCCACCCTGAAACAAAATGGCTACCTCCTGCCTCCACCTTAAGTGAGAACAGGTTTATTTTCTGAGGAAATGCAATCAGGGCCCAAGCACAATGGTGAGAGCGCTGGGGCATAGGAGATTGTCTGTATACAGAGAGCTCCCTTCCCCAGGTGATTCCCAGAAGGGTGGCATCCAGGCTTACATTCCCGAAACCTGGAGGTCCCTTCTTTGGAGAGACTGAACAGCCTCAGAGAAAAGTCCCATAAATACTATTTTTTTTTTTTTTTTTTTAGAGACAAGGTATCATTCTGTCATCCAGGCTGGAATGCAGAGGTGTGATCACCACCCACTGTAGCTTCAACCTTCCTGGGGTACATGTGATCCTCTCAAACTGCTGGGGATTACAAGCATGAGCCACCATGCCCAGCCCAGCTGAGGGTTTTATAGTTGACTCTGCCTGGTTGTAATTCTGAACATCTTTTTGCCTTGCAGGTCTACATTTCTCTTTGCCATACTGCTCTGGGCTCTGGGGGTTGACCTGAATGGACCACACAGCCATGGTGTCTCCTGTCCTCCACCTTCACTGGTGAAGACTGGGAGTGAGGAAGAAGAGTGAGATTGCACCCTCTCTGCAGGACCATGGGCAGACCCTGCCCCTTACCTCTTCTCAGGGGTCTCTCTTCTCTCCTGTTAACTTCTTCCCATTCCCTCATCAGGCCTTTGCTTGGTTTCTGGACATGCCGCCCACACCTTTGTAAATTGTCCCTTTAATCTCTTCAAATAACCCAGTTTAAGGGTGCCATTTGTATCCTGCCAGGATCCTGTCTCAACCACTAAACAATATTCACATAATCAAAATGTAAACACTATTAATTATCGAAAAACTGTGAAATAACTATATCAGGAGCCTGGAGTCGAGGGGAAAGGAGTAATGGTATTATAAGAACACTAAATCTTCAACTACCATAATAGAAAGTCAGTAGAAAATAACAAAATTAATAAGAATGGTATACTGTCAGCTAAAAGAGTGGAAAGTAATTGATTCAGTGAAGAGAGAATAAAGGGTAGGGGGCAGTGAGTGGGATAGTGGACGTGGTATTTTGAAATGTGCCTTCTAGTGCTTTTCACTTTTTAAATTATGAGCACATAAAATGTTGCTAAAAAAAACAAAATTAATTTTTGAAAAGTCTAAAGCCAAGAGAAAAAAACACAGTAATGGCCCTTTGAATTCTTTTGAGGGCCTAGTGCATAATGGATGCTTAGCGGTACCAACAGCAGAATTCAAGCCTCCCTAGTGACTTCAGATCCAGTAATCCATCTCCTTCACTGCACTTTTGGAGAATAAAGCAGTCTCAGCCTCAGAGCCATCTGTGCTTGTCAGTGTGAGGCCTGATAGAAATAAAATAGCTCTCCTGCTCCCAATTATTTATATCAGGTAGAAGAAAAATTTCCAGCCTGCAAGATCAGGTTAGGGAGAGAGTGAGGAGGTTAGCGAGAGAGTGAGGAGGGTAGGGAGAGAGAGGTCAGTAGATGCACAGAATTTGCATTCAAGAGCTGAATTTGAATCTTAGCTCTCCAATCCCGAGTTGGATGCAGGGGCTTTTCATCTCTCCAAGCCTGTTTATTCTTAAGTAAGCTTCACGAGGGCATTTTGCCCATCATCTAGGACAGTGATTTGTTTATTTGTCACCCAGGCTGGAGTGCAGTGGTGCGATCACAGCTCACTGCAACCTCCGCCTCCTGGATTCAAGCTATTCTCGTGCCTCAGCCTCCCGAGTAGCTGGGATTACATGTGTGCACCACCACGCCCAGCTTATTTTTGTATTTTTAGTAGAGACAGGGTTTTGCCATGTTGGCCAGGCTGGTCTCAAACTCCTGACCTCAAGTGATCCACCTGCCTTGGCCTCCCAAAGTGCTGGAATTACAGGCATGAGCCACTGTGCCTGGCCAGGACAATGCTTTTTAATAACCAGAGGCTTTCTATTTTTACTTTTGACACAGGGTCTCTGTTGTCCACCTTACAGTGCATGATCATGGCTCACTGCAGCCTCAACTTCCCGGGTCAAGTGATCCTACCACCTCAGCCTCTGGAGAAGCTGGGACTACAGGCATGTGCCACCACACCTGGCTAATTTTTATTTTTTGTAGAGACAGGGGTCTCCCCATATTGCCCAGGTTGGTCTCGAACTCCTGGTTTCAAGTGATCCGTATGCCTTGGCCTCCCAAAGAGCTGGGATTACAGGCATAAAGCCACCACACCTGACCAATAAATTGAGACTTTTATTTATTTATTTATTTGTTTATTTATTTTTGAGATGGAGTCTCACTCTGTTGCCCAGGCTGGACTGCAGTGGTGTGATCTCGGTTCACTGCAATGTCTGCCTCCTGGGTTCAAGCAATTCTCCTGCGTCAGCCTCCTGAGTAGCTAGGATTACAGGCATGAGCCATCATGCCCAGCTAATTTTTGTATTTTTAGTAGAGATGGGGTTTCACCATGTTGGCCAGGCTGGTCCTGAACTCCTGACCTCAGGTGATCCGCCTGCCTTGGCCTCCCAAAGTGCTGATTACAGGTGTGAGCCATTGTACCCAGTCAATTTGAGACTTTATAAGTAGAAGGCTGTATACTGATGCACAGTAGCTTAATAATTATTGAATGAATCTTGAGGATGAAATAAGAATGGTCATATAGCATGGCAAATATTTGGCAAACAGATCTAATAGATAGTAGATAGTAGTAAACTAACTAATAAGAGTTTCTTTCCCTTGATCTCTACCTCAGCTTTTTACCAATGTTGTTATATGGCAGCCTAAGTCAATAAGCTTTTTTTTTCCCCTCGCTCTGTCACCCAGGCTGGAGTGCAGTGGCGCAATCTCGGCTCACTGCAAGCTCCACCTCCTGGGTTCACGCCATTCTCCTGCCTCAGCCTCCCGAGTAGCTGGGACTACAGGCGCCCGCCACCATGCCCTGCTAATTTTTTTTTTTAGTAGAGACGGGGTTTCACTGTGTAAGCCAGGATGGTCTCGGTCTCCTGACCTCGTGATCCGCCAGCCTCAGCCTCCCAAAGTGCTGGGATTACAGGCGTGAGCCACTGCGCCTGGCCCTAAGTCAATAAGCTTTGAACTGAAGCCTGGTAATGGTAAGTAATAATAATAGAGTCATGAGCCTCATAATGTTTTGGTCAACAATGGACTGCATATACAAGGGTGGTCCTGTAAGGTTATAATACTGTACCATACTTTTACTGTATCTTTCCTATGTTTAGATACACAAATACTCTTGTGTTACTATTTCTTCACACTATTCTGTATAGTAACATGCTGTACAGGTTTATAGCTTCAAATCAATAGGCTGTACCACATAGCCTCTATGTTTTGTAGGCTATACCATCCAGGAGGTATAGCCTACAACATGTTGGGAGGCCGAGGCGGGAGGAATAAGTATAAGTACAGTCTGTGATGTTCATACAGTAATGAACTCATCTAACGATCCATTTATCAGAACATATCCTCATTGTTAAGTGATATATGACTGTAATAGTAATAAATGATAGAAAGAACATTTATTCTCAGAAAAAAAAAGAAAGAACATTTATTGAACGGTCATTTTGAGCCAGGCACTATTCTATATTAGCTCATTTAACCTTCACGGTAAATCTGTAAGTACTACTATTATGCTCATGTTACAAATTAAGAAACTAAAGTCGGGTCGGGGGGTGGTGGTGGCGGGGGGAAAGAAAGAGACAGAGAAAGAAAGAGGGTGCAGTGGCTCCTGCCTGTAATCCCAGCACTTTGAGAGGCCGAGGCACGCAGATTGCTTGAGCCCAGGAGTCCAAGACTAGTCTGGGCAACATGGCAAGAACTTGTCTCTACAAAAAATACAAAAATTAGCCAGGCATGGTGGCATGTGCCTGTAGTCCTAGCTACTCCAGAGGCTGAGGTGGGAGGATTGCTTGAGTCCGGGAGGTGGAGGCTGCAGTGCTGTGATTGTGCCACTGCACTCCAACCTGGGCCACAGAGTGAGACCTAGTCTCTTAAAAAAAAAAAAAAAAAAAAAAAAGAAGAAAGAAAGAGAAAGAAAAACTGAAGCATGGAGAGATAAGTAATCACACAGCTAGCCAGCTAGTAAATGACAGGGCTGGAATTTGAACCCAGGCAGCTTACCTTACATCTTGAGTGCTTCATCATATAAGTTAGACTTCTCTTAATTTATTCATCTGACAAAGAAAATGGATCGCTGTTGTATTTTTTAAGGAAATTCCTTCTTATCTAAGTTATAATTGTGATATGTAACTGTTACAATGCCAAACCACCATATTTAGGACATGCTAACTGAAACCTGTTAGTGACTTTGTTTTGAAGATAAACCCTTCGCACCTATTGAATCAAGTTTTAAGGTTGCTCTCCTGCTAACTCAGCATACTCTAAATGGCTTTTTCTTTTAACTCAAGTTTGATCCCAACTTCTATTTAAAGAAAAAATTTTAAGCCGGGTGCAGTGGCTTGTACCTGTAATCCCAGCACTTTGAGAGGCTGAGGAGGGAGGACTGCTTGAGCCCAGGAGTTCAAGGTCAGCCTGGTCAACATAGTGAGACCCCATCTCTATGAAAAAAATTCAAAAAATTAACCAGTCATGGTGGTGCGAGCTTGTAGTCCTAGCTACTTGAGAGGCTGAGCTGGGAGGATCACTTGAGCCCAGGAGTTGGAGGCTGCAGTGAGCTATGATCATGTGGCTGCACTACAGCCTGGGTGACAGTCTGAGACCCTGTCTCAAAAAGAAAAAAAAAAAGAGCTCAAAATTTGGAGAATGCAGGTCACCACAAAAAAGTGTCTACTAATCAATCTAGTAAAGATGATCTAAGAAAATCAAATACGTACAGGTTTTGTGGGGAAAATGAAGGCACAGAAGAAAGCACTTTTACTTTTCTTTGAGGGAATTTTCCTCCATTTAGGTTTCTAAGGTTAAACAATAAAAACAAGAAGGTGCTGCAGTCTTTCACTGCGTGACTCAGGGGAAGCCTTATCAACATTCATTACAGCAAACACTTGCATAGCACTTGTGGTGTGCTGGACTCTGCTCTAAGTGGCTTATAGACATCTCAGCTATCCTCACAACAACCTATCAGTTAAATGCTACTACTAGACCTATTTTGTAGATGGAGAAATGAAGACACAGATTAAGCAAATGGTTTACAGCTAGTGTTTTAGACAGGTGAGATTTGAACCCAAACAGCCTAGTACCAAAGTATAGCATCCAACAGACACATGCTATACTATGTGTCCACTGCTGCAGGGATGTGGATAAATCCTGTGAAGGGGCTGTCAGAACACTTGACTTACTCTCCATTCCTTATTCTGTAGGTCTAAATGTTCAAGGGCAGTAAGGATATGGTTGATATATGTGAAGTCTTGAAGATGTGTATTCAGCACAGGTATATAACCTGTTCTCAAGAATAACCAGGTGGCCGGGCATGATGGCTCATGCCTGTAATCCCAGCACTTTGGGAGGCTGAAGCAGGCGGATCAGAAGGAGGTCAGAAGTTCAAGACCAGCCTGGCCAACATGGCAAAACCCCGTCTCCACTAAAAATACAAAAATTAGCCGGGCATGGTGGCGGGTGCCTGTAATCCCAGCTACTTGGGAGGCTGAAGCACGAGAATCACTTGAACCCAGGAAGCAGAGGTTGCAGTGAGCCGAGATGGTGCCACTGCATTCCATCCTGGGTGACAGAGCAAGACTCCACCTCAAAAAAAAAAAAAAAGACAAAAGAAAAAGGAAAAGAATAACCATGTGTCAGAAACAGATACAAATGGGTAGGACCAAAATTTACAAGAATTTGGCAGAAATAGGATCACTAATGGATTCTTCTCTAAGGATATGAGCCCCTTTGTTAAGGATTATCTTTTTATTCATTTATTTAGAGACGGGGTCTTGCTCTGTTGCCCAGGCTGGAGTGCAGTGCCGTGAACACAGCTCATTGCGGCCTGAACCCCCCAGGCTCAAGCTATCTTCCCATCTCAATCTCCTGTCTCCTGAGTGGCTGGGACCACAGGCACATGCCACCATGCCAGGCTAATTTTTTTTTTTTTTTTTTTTTTTTTTGTATAAAGGGGGTTTCACCATGTTGCCCAGCCTGGTTTTGAACTCCTGGGCTCAAGGGATCCATCCACCTTGGCCTCCCAAAGTGCTGGGATCACAGGTGTGAGCCACCATGCCCGGTCATTTTCTAACTTTTAAAAATTAAAAAAAAAAAAATTAAGAGGCAGGGTCTAGCTGTCATCCAGGCTGGAGTGCAGTGGCATGATCATAGCTCACTGCAACCTCAAACTCCTGGGCCCAAGTGATTCTCCTGCCTACCTCCTGACTACAGGTGCATTCCACCATGCCTAACTAAAAGGATTATCTTAAAGGGCATGTTCAGGTGCACAGGTATCTCTTTGTTAGAAAAATCTCAGGTTGCAGGTTAGAAAAGAATTTAAGGGCATAGACAAATGTCCAGAAGAAGATGCACTGACCATCACCTCAGGAAAGACTTGGAAGTAAGGGTACAGAGACACTTTCTATTTTATATACTTCAGCACTATTCAAAACTCAGGGAAAAAAAAACCCCACGAATTATGTTTTCACTATATGTATTGCACACACACACATATATATAGCATGCACACACACACACACACACATATGTAACTCCACCCAGGATGGAAAGAAAGTCAGTAGTGGCCACGAGATGACAAGATTTCCAGTCTCTTCTGTGACTTTAATATACACCCAAACAAGGAGATGGACTACTAACTCAGGCTGGTCACTCCTGAACCAGGTTCCAGGCAATACTCCAGTTCTGGACATTTTAATAGCTGAAAATAACTAAGACTCCCCTGGCCTCAAGAACTGGGAGAACAGCTGAGTCTTGAGGGAGCTAAATTGGGAAAGGGCAGAGGTAATCCTAAGGAATCCCATGCAAGTCTTGACACTGGAGACAGCAAACCTAAGTTTGAAACACACAGCTTTCCATTCCAGACACTGTCAGCTCTAGAAAGATGGTATATGCAACAGGAAATCACTTTCTGGATTAAACTCTTCAGACTCGATGAGTGGGGTTACCTTTCTAGTTACAGATGTTAAAACATTCTTTTGTTTTCCATCCTGAAGTGGATTTTACAAGGTACCTCACCCACTTTGTAGTATGTCTAAAGCAGACTAACACTACTGACTTTTTTTTTGAGATGGAGTTTCGCTCTTGTTGCCCAGGCTGGAGCAGAGTGGCTTGATCTCGGCTCGACACAGCCTCCACTTCCCAGGTTCAAGCGATTCTCCTGCCTCAGCCTCTTGAGTAGTTGGGATTACAGGTGCCTGCCACCACGCCTGACTAATTTTTTGTATTTTTAGTAGAGATGGGGTTTCGCCATGTTGGGTAGGCTGGTCTCGAATTCCTGACCTCAGGTGATCCACCCGCCTCGGCCTCCCAAAGTGCTGGGATTACAGGTGTGAGCCACTGCGCTAGGCCACTACTGACTTTCTTTCCAGAAAAGACTCATTCTCCTAAGGCAGGACATGCTGTTGTTACATTATTACATTTTATAGCCCTCAGGGCCTACTAGGCAGACTAATCCCATGATGCGATTTGCCACAAGTAAAGCACAGAATAGAGTCAGGCAGGAATGACAAAGGAGTCAAAGGAAAAACTAGGCAATGGAAGCCTGGGCTGCGGAATAACAACTTGCAACTTCACAGACATCTCATCCCTTCTCCAGACTAGAGAAGCCTTAGGGTAAATCCTAGCTCTGACACTTACTAGCTGTGTGAATTTGGGTAAATTACTTAACCTCTAAACCATTTCTAATCTGTACAAAATCTTGTAGTATCTACTTGCTTCTTCAGTTGTGGGAAGGGAGATACAGCAGAAAAAGTGTTTGGCACAATGCTGGTTTACAGCAGCCCTCAACCATCAGTGGTGCTATTATTTTCCGCAAGAAGGTGAAGGGCCATAAAAGGCCTATACAGCTGCTGAAGTTCATTGCTAAAGGTATCCAAGGCTCAAATATTTCAAGTGCAAGCTAGACATGAAATTCACAGCTATCTCTGTGAATCACCCTTGATTCCTTCACTCCCTGTGAGTTAGTCACATACACTGTAGAAATGCTGTTACTCAGGCCCTTCCTATTTACCAGGACTTCATTTTAATGTAGACGCTTTCCTGTGTGGTTTGTTCAGAAAGTCTTCTAAATCTGTCCTAATTGCCAAGTTATTTAACCCCTGCCTAACCCCCCACCACCAGAAAACCCCCCCATAAAAGCAACTTGCTTAAAACTTTCTCTCAAGTCTCCCATGCCTAGTAGGTAAGGTCTGAGTATTTTACTTTAGCATACAAGGCCATTCACAACCTGAATTAACATGGTTTTCTGAGCCTTACTTGTCACTTCCAACTCTCCAATCTAACACATCTTTCCTGTTCTTCTAACATATTTCAGTCTTTCAAACCTTCTCATCATCATGCTCTTCCCTCAGTCTAGAAGAGATGACTTTCTTCTCTACCTCACAAAATCCTACTCAACCTTCAAGACTTAGCTAAAACGCTCTTTTAAATGAAGTCTTTCCTTCAGGCTTTATATATATATATATATATATATATATATATTTTTTTTTTTTTTTTTTTTTTTTTTGAGACAGGGCTTTGTCTTACTGTCCAGGCTGTAGTGCAGTGGTGTGATCATAGCTCATTGCAGCCTCAATCTCCTGGGCTCATGCAATCCTCCCGCCTCGGCCTCCAGAGCAGCTGGAACTACAAGCACATACCACCACGCCCAGCTAACTTTTTTTACTTTTAGTAGAGATGAGGTTTTGCTATGTTGCCCAGGCTGGTCTTGAATTCCTGAGCTCAAGTGATCCTCTTGCCTTGGCCTCCCAAAGTGCTGGATTACAGGTATGACTCACCATGCCCAGCTTACAACTTAATTTTCAACACAGCACTCAACAGAACATTCTATTTCTTATGTCTGCCTTGCCCAATAGCCACTTTTTTTTATTTCAATCATTTTTCTATTTGCCCCACTGTAGCAGTAACACATTTGAAAGTACTTTGTGAAAGTGTAAATTTTAAGGGATTATACCAGTACATATACTGATCTGAAAGAGAAATGGGAAGACTGAAGGCAGAAAATGATGTGGCTTCTTTCCCTTTACCAGTTCAAGGTCTTCATAAATTTTTCTTTTTTTTTCTGTAAAAAAAGAGATGGAGTCTCACTATGTTGCTCAGTCTGGACTTTTGAACTTCTGGGCTCAAGTGATCCTCCTACCTCAGCCTCCCAAGTAGCTGGAACTACAGGCATGTGCTACCATGCCTGGCTTAGATTCTGACCTTAGCAGTCATTATATGAAGGATAACCAGTTTGTAACATGGCCTAAAATAAAATGAACAGTTCTCAGGCAGCCCACCCAAGGAAATTCACACATAATGAGAAACCAGAGATGTGTTAGAGTTAAAAGGGTAAGTATAAAAAGTTTTACTTTTTTTGTGTAATTTTTAATACAAGACATCTAAAGTCTTAAACATTAAGTTGATCCCATCAGGAACAAAATATGGCACGAAGTTCAGAAACAAGAACATCTTTTTTTTTTTTTTTTGCACTTAGGCTTTTCAGTCACTATGCAATGATTATCGATTCGCCAAGGACAGTAACAGTCAAATACTAGAGAAAAGGAGATAGGAGAAACATCTTTTATTTCTTCTAAAGAGGTGAAAATAAGATTTTTTTAATATTTCTCACTCATAAGATTTTTAAACTCTTAAAAATGCAATATCTTCTTTTCAAAGCACATGCCATCTTAAAAAAATCTTAGCAATGTACATTTGCACTCAAAGAAAAACATGCAGCGCCATTGTCTTCTGACAAAATTCTGCATTAAAAAACCCTATGCGACTTTCTGCAAATATATTCCCTCTTTATTATTCAGGGACTCCAAACCACAAACATTCAGTGCAATATTTATCGTTTCTTATTTCCGTAGGAAACACAGAACCAATGATGTCTTCTGACAACTGTTTCCTGATGGTTGAGCAACAGTCTCCCTTTGCTTTATTTTAAAGTACTTTTTTTAACTTGCTGATGTAAGGTATAATTGGAATTCATTAAAACTTGAGGATCCAATGGAGGGTGAAGAATGAAGGATGGAGGAGGAATACTTAAGGTCTACCCTGTGCCATAAACTTAGGAAAAAAATGTACACAGAAAAAAACGACAACCAAAAAACCTCAGATTTTATCAATGCACCCTTTAAAAAGTGTTTTTTTAATTTCTGAAAGCAGCTTAATGTGAATCAAAAGCAGTTCCTGAGCAACTGCAGTAAACAGTCTTTTAAAATATATATGTACATACACATGTACATATATGTGTGTGTGTGTATATATATATATTTGCAACTTAGCTCATTTGGTTCTGTCTTAATTTACCTCCCCAGCATTTAGTCCCTTCTTTCCTTTCAGTCTCCAATGTGCAAGTACAATAGCATCAGCTCTGGGAGTTGGCGTGGAGCAGATGTTTCTTATCACTCCTGTGAGGTCATCTGCTTGTCTGTCAGGCCAGGTTTCCAGAGTTGCTGCAGGTCATAGTTCTCTCAATCTCACAAAACCTGTAAGCATCATGGCCACCTCACGTTTTCTTCATCAGACGCCGTGACTGCCATGTGTGGAGCTTGTTGTAGGCTGTCTGGAGCATCTCTTCTATGTGACTTACCAACTGAAAAACACAGCAAGACACTTAACAACTGGGCAAAAGCAGGGGAAGTTAATCCTTCCAACCCAAATCTGGCACACACTTCAGAGTGTAGTTTCGGAGCTCCTCTGTATTTCCCCAGTCAATGAGGTAATGTGCAAGCCCTCTGAGAAGGTGCTGTCAGACACATTTTGTGTGGAAAGGAAAGACAGAAAGTAGGGGGCAGTGAAAAGGCTGCGGTTGTAATGGCTGTCCTGTCATTAACCAATAATAGGACAATATGAAAGTCACAATTGTGCTCCAGGCCTCAATTCCTTCTGTCAAACGAGGGGTCTGAACTATATCTGTGATTTTCTAGATTTGAATACTGGTCAGCCAACTAAGGCCAGGATGGTAGTATAAACTTTATTTTATTTTATTTTATTTTTTGAGACAGAGTCTTGCTCTGTCACCCAGGCTGGAGTGCTATGGTGTGATTTTGGCTCACTGCAGCCTCCACCTCACAGGTCCAAGCAGTTCTCATGTCTCAGACTCCCGAGTAGCTAGGATTACAACCATGAGCCACCACACCTGGCTAATTTTTGTATTTTTAGTAGAGATGGGATTTCACCATGTTGGCCAGGCTGGTCTTGAACTCCTGGCCTCAAGTGATTCACCCACCTCAGCCTCCCAAAGTGCTGGGATTACAGGCCTGAGCCACCATGCCCGGCCAGGTTTTTTTTTTTTTTCTTTTTTAAATAGTGGAGATGGACTCTTGCTATGCTGCCCAGGCTGGTCTCGAACTCCTGGGCTCAAGCAATCTTCCTGCCTCAGCCTCTCAAAGTGCTGGGATTACAGGCGTGAGCTGCTGTGCCCAGCCCCGTATATACATCTTGGCAGAACACTGGAAAAATGCCTTATTCTCCTGAAGATTCTGATTCAACAGGCCTGGGATGAGACCCAAGAATCTTTGATTTTCAAAAGCTCCTGCAGTTAATTCTGCATAATTTTGTGAAACAGTTTGCTATTTTTAGGGTTTTTCCAACTCCAGCATTTCAGGAGTTCAATACAACTCAGCAGATTACAGAAAACCTAAATGGTTTCAATGCTTCACACAATGTGCTATGTCATGTCTTGGGTCAGGACTATAGATCTTTGAGTAGATTAAGAATTTTGCCCTCATCATGGACATAGCTAGAAGTCAACAGGATCATATGGAATCTTTTTTATTTTTTTGAGACATGGTCTCACTACGTTGCCCAGGCTGGAGTGCAGTGGCTATTCACAGGTGCAATTTTAGTTTACTATAGTCTCAAACTCCTGATTTCAAGTGATCCTCCTGCCTCAGTCTCTTGAGTAGCTGGGACTACATGTGCATACCACCGCATCTGGCTTATACTGACTTTTGAGGTAGAAGTCTCTGGAATATGTTTCCTTGGAGGTGGACAGTGTTTATGTGTTTAGAAGTAAAGTTTTGCCAAGTCTGGGAGGATGGAGATGGAGATCAGGAAGTCCTAAATTCCTTTGGCATGTCAATGTTTAGGTCTGAGGGGTACAGAGTTAAAAAAATTACCCTTACTGCCATACCTGTTTATCATTATGGGGGATAGTAATATTTAGCTCTGTCTGGAAACTATAAAAATTACTTATTCTGTTTGATGGGCAGCAGTATCTATATTATCAATTGGAAGACATGAACACCATATCCTTCTGCAAGGCTATGCATGGCCTCAGCATCCTTTTCTTTTTTTTTTGAGATGGAGTTTCACTCTTGTTGCCTAGGCTAGATGCAATGGCACGATCTCAGCTCACTGCAATCTCCGCCTCCCAGGTTCAAGCAATTCTCCTGTCTCAACTTCCCGAGTAGCTGGGATTAGGGGCACTTGCCACAACGCCCGGCTAATTTTTTGTATTTTTAGTAGAGATGGGGTTTCACTGTGTTGGCCAGGCTGGTCTCGAACTCTTGACCTCAGGTGATCCACCCGCCTCAGCCTCCCAAAGTACTGGGATTACAGGTGTAAGCCACCGCGCCTGGCCCTCAGCATCCTTTCCAACACAGCACTCCAAGCAGTTATAATCAATTGAGAAGGCACATGACCTGAAACCTATCTGCCATCCTTGCCCTGCTGTGAGAAGACACTCCAAGCTTCTATCTGATTATAAGTAATGCTGTTTTGTATTTTAAGAAAACCCACTTAGAATATTTAGGAAATAAATATGAAAAATCTTGCTGATGATTTTTCAGCTTTCAATTGTAAAACTCCCCTTTTATTTATCCTACTTATTGAATACTGAATCTTAAATTTGTAACTAGAGTCATGTGCCACATAATGTGCATATATGATGGCGGTCCCATCAGATTATAATAGAGCTGAGAAATTCCCATCATCTAGTGATGTCGTAACATCATACAGCAGCACATTATTCACTCGTTTGTAGGGATGCTGGTGTAAACGAACCTATTAAGTAGCCAGCTGTATAAAAGTATAGCATGTACAATTATGTATAGGACCTAATACTTGATAATGATAATGAATATGTTACTGGTTTATCTATTTACTGTATTTTAAAATCATTATTTACGGTGTACTCCTACTTATATATATAAAAAAGTTAACTGTAAAATAGCCGTACGCAGGTCCTTCAGGAGGTATTCCAGAAGAAGGTATTGTTTCACAGGAGATGACAGCTCCATGTGCATTACTGCCCCTGAAGACTTTTCAGTGGGACAAGATGTGGAGGTGGAAGACAGTGATAGTGATGATCCTGACTCTGTGTAGGCCTAGGCTAATGTGTGTTTGTGTCTTAGTTTTTAACAAAAGTTTAAAAAGAAAAAAAAAATTAAAAATAGAAAAAAGGCACCAGGCGTGGTGGCTCACGCCTGTAATCCCAGCACTTTGTGAGGCCGAGGTGGGTGGATCACGAGGTCAGGAGTTCGAGACCAACCTGGCCGACACAGTGAAACCCGGTCTCTACTAAAAATACAAAAATTAGCTGGGCGTGGTGGTGGGTGCCTGTAATCCCAGCTACTCGGGAGGCTGAGGCGGGAGAATCGCTTGAACCCAGGAGGCAGAGGTTGCAATGAGCTGTGATCATGCCATTGCACTCCAGCCTGGGCGACAGAACTAGACTCCATCTCAAAAAAAAAAAAAAAAAAAAGAAAAAGAAAAAATATATATATCTATACGGAGAGAGGGAGAGAGAGAGAGAAAGAGAGAGAGAAAGGCTTATAGAATAAGAATACAAAGAAAATACTTTTGTACAGCTATACAATGGGTGTTTTAGGTTAAGTGTTATTCCAAAGAATGAAAAACTTTAAAAATATTTAAAAGTTTATAAGGTAAAAATGTTATAGTAAGCTAAGGCTAATTTATTATTGAAGAAAAAAAGCTATATTGTAAATTTAATGTAGTCTAAGTGTACAGTGTTAGTAAACTCTGCAGTAGTGTACAGTAATGTCCTAGGCCTTCACATTCACTCACTGAGTCACCCAGAGCAACTTCTAGTCCTGCAGTCCTGCAGGCTCTATTTATGGTAAATGCCCTTTACAGGTGGACCACTTTTTATCTTTTATACTGAATTTTTACTGCAACTTTTCTATGTTTAGATACACACATACCATTGTGTTAAAACTGTTTACAGTATTTAGTACAGTACTATGCTGTACAGGTTTGTAGCCTAGGAGCAACAGGCTACACCATATAGCCTAGAAGTATAGTAGGCTATATAGCTAGGTTTTAAGTACACTCTGTGAGGTTCATACAACAAAACTGTCTGTCAATGAATTGTTTAGAACACATCCCTGTGGTTAAGCAACACGTGACTGTACTATTCTTTCCAAGGTACCTCTGGGAGGGCTTGTATAACTGCACATACAAATGATCTGATGTGGTTGCTCTAACCTTGTTTTAAATACAATGCTAAAAATGCTGGGCATAAAGTGACACTTCTCAATACCTCATCCACTGACTTTCCCCACTGTAAACAATCAGGGAAGCTGATGCCAAATAGAACCCAGGAACAGTTTTGCTTACTATGAGTAGTGGCAATTCTATCTTTCCTTACGCTGCTAGGTTTGTGCTTGCTACTCAGTTTTTCCAAATTAATAAATTAGTAATATGTATTTTTCAGAACATACACATAGATTGTAAAACTTTTTGAGACAGAGTCTCACTGTGTCACCCAGGCTGGAGTGCGGTGGCATGACCTCGGCTCACCGCAACCCCTGTCTCCCAGGTTCAAGCAATTCTCCTGTCTCAGCCTCCCGAGTAGCTGGGACTACAGGCATGCGCCACCATGCCAGGCTAATTTTTGTATTTTTAGTAGAGACAGGGTTTCGCCATGTTGGCCAGAACTGGTCTCGGAACTCCTGACCTCAAGTGATCAGCCTGCCTTGGCCTCTCAATGTGCTGGGATTACAGGCATGAGCCACCGCACCCGGCCAGATTGTAAAACTTTTCTAAGGGAAAGCATGGAGATGGTTATCACAAATGCTTTGGTTAGTCATGACCTCTGGAGGGGAAGAGAGAGTGGTATGCAACTGGACAGGGGCACTCAGGGAATATCTATGGGTTATGGCAACATTCTACTAATTTTCCTGATTGGTGAGTAAACAGACAGTTATTTTATTATTTAAAAAATATGTATGTATTTTATATACTTCTGAATGCATGACACATTTCAATATTAAAAAACAGTACTTTGAGCAACAGAAAATAAAGTATTGGCCGGGTGCAGTGGCTCATGCCTGTAATCCTAGCACTTTGGGAGGCCAAGGTGGGCTGATTACCTGAGGTCGAGTTTGAGACCAGCCTGGCCAACATGGTGAAACCCCGTCTCTACTAAAATACAAAAATTAGCTGGGCGTGGCAGCATGCGCTTGTAATCTCAGCTACTCAGAAGGCTGAGGCAGGAGAATCGCTTGAACCCAGGAGGTAGAGGTTGCAGTGAGCTGAGATGGAGCCACTGTACTCCAGCCTGGGCGACAGAGTGAGACTCCGTTTCAAAAAAAAAAAAAAAAGAAAATTAAGTATCTACTCATTTACATGAAAGCAAAATCAATTTCATCATTTTACTACAAAGAGAAAGAAGATCAGGCAAAAATCAGATTGCTGCCTTACATTTGTGCTTAAATACTGTCTCCGAATCTTTTCTTGGAATGGACAGAGCTTCGTAACTTGGAATCGTTCCAAATTACTTTTCATTTTCACTACCTAAAAAAGATGAGAAACAATAAATTACAGAGAAATCTCAAGCTGTAGAGACCAACAGAAAAACAATCTTCTACATATGAAAGTTACTTTTCTTGTAGAATTTTTTTAAATGTAAAAATAAAATAAAAATATACCAATTATATCACATTGTTAACCCTTCAATGTGAATATCTTTCAGTCATAAATACTCATTTGGCCAGACGTGGTGGCTCACGCCTGTAATCCCAGCACTTTGGGAGGCCGAGGTGGGCGGAACACAAGGACAAGAGATTGAGACCATCCTGGCTAACATGGTGAAACCCCGTCTCCGCTAAAAATACAAAAATTAGCTGGGCGTGGTGGCACACGCCTGTAGTCCCAGCTACTCAGGAGGCTGAGGCAGGAAAATTGGTTGAACCCAGGAGGTGGAGGCTGCAGTGAACTGAGATCACACCACTGCACTCCAGCCTGCCGACAGAGTGAGACTCCATCTCAAAAAACAAAAACAACAAAAAATCCCAACTCATTTAAATAGTCACTCATTCATTTATTCATTCATTTAGAGACAGGGTCTCATTCTGTCACCCAGGCTGGAGTGCAGTGGCAACATCATGGCTCACTGCAGCTTTGACCTCTCTAGGCTCAGGTGATCACCTGAGCTACTTTTCATAATTTTTGTAGAGACGGAGTTCTGCCATGTTGCCCAAGTTGGTCTCAAACTCCTGAGCTCAAGCGATCTGCCTGCCTTGGCCTCCCAAAGTGCCCGGTTTAGTGGCTCATGCCTGTAGTCCCAGCTACTAGAGAGGCTGAGGTGGGAGAATCACCTCAGCCCAGAAGGTAGCGGCTGCAGTGAGCAGAGATCACTCCACTGCACTCCAGCCTGGGTGACAGCGTGAGACCCTGACTCAATAAATAAAATAAAATAAAATAATTATTGTCTTTCAACGTATGAATATACCAAATGCTTCTCTAACCAACCCCCTTCTGGTAGATATTTAGGCCATTTCCTCTATCTTAGAGAGTGGTAGACCATCTCTAGCTAAGTATTTGCATTCCTAATTATTTCCTAAATTTCTAAATGTTGAATTTCATTTGAAGTTTCATTTGAATGCTGAAGTAAAAGCATCTAAAAAAACACTAGCAGTGGAAGAAAGGACTCTTGGCTACTTGGTCAACATTGATCATTTTAAGATTTTTGTTCTTCTGCAAATTAGTAGGTGAAAAAAATATTCTTTTAAAAAATTTATTTATGTATTTTTTGGAGACAGAGTCTTGCTATGTTGTCCAGGCTGGTCTCCAACTCCTGGGCTCAAACAATTCTCCCGCCTCAGCCCCGCCAAAGTGTTGGGATTACAGGTGTGAGCCACCGTGCTTGGCCAAAATGTTCTTTTACTGTAGCTGTAATTTATCTGCATACTGGTAAGTGTGAGCATTTCCCCTTAATCTTCCTAGGCCACTCCATTCTTTAGTGAGTTGCTTGTAAAGTGTTTGCCTATTGTGCTTAATGAGGTCTTTATCTTTTACTTAATCATAGTTTATGAAAGCAATTTATAGTATTACTATTAATGTTACATTTTTCATTTGTCAACTGTCCTTTAATTGGTTAAAGCGGTTTTAGTGTTAAAAAGCTAGTGCTATATTTGTTGTCAGTTCTTATTTTGGATTTTGTTATCCCTGAAAAACGTATCAAATATAAATAACTTTATTGATGTAATTTGTTTTGGGTCTCTATTCACAGTGGCTTGGAGGTAGATACAAGTTTTAAGTTGTATGATTATTAGTTATGGAACTCGTCTGGATCTCAGTTTCCAAATCTATAAAATGGGTACCAATAGCTACTCCATAAAGATGCTGTGAGGTTTACATGAAACGATGTATGCAAAAGAGTTATCCCAGTGTCTGTCACATGGTAAGACTCAATAAAACTTTCCAATTTCAAAACTTCTTGTAAGTCACTACCACAATTATCTGGCTGTCTTCAGAACTGGTTCTAACCTTTTCTTCTAGGAATGGCGTATTAACAGGAAAGCAGGACCAGAAATGTCGTAGAAGTTCTCCAACAGCTACATATAAGTGTTTCAATTCAGATTGAATATCATTTGGCACCATCTCTGCAAAAGAAGAACAAGGCCCATAGGTTAAGAGCTATTTTAACATATACAGTCTCGAAAAAAATGACCACTCAGAGAATAAATTTGAATGTGTACTCTTTGTCAATGCCAAACCAGGATGTGCTATTTTCAGATAAGTTAGTAATTTTGTGGCTGAGAGATCATAAAATTTAAAAGCTCTTGGGATTTCAAAGAAACTTTCAGGTTTCCCCTTTATTCTAAGAGGTAGGGGAGAAGAAAGGAGCTTTTACTATGATATTAGAGAAACTAGCAATGTACCACTATTTGTAATAGTAAGACGGTTCTGAAACCTAAGATCTTGTCTAGATGTGTTTCAGAATCTGAATGTATAAAAACAAATCTACAAAATAGAAATCCCAGGATTATTCCAAGGAAAAACCAATAAAAGTTCAGCACTCCTCCCAGCTTGCTTTTTAAAGCTGATTTAGGCAGAAAGTAGTAGAAGATGGCCCGGCACATACGGTTTATGGCTTGCTGTGTTCCTCCCTGCATAAGTGCCCCTCCAGGTGACAGTGCTGTGATGGTACTACTGGCAGCACTACTTGAGAGAACCTGAAAAAAATGAAGATGCATTAAAACTGGTTTTCCTCCCTTTTTTTTTTTTGCCACCTCTCTTTCTTAACATTTTAGTTTTAGAGCAGACAATGAAGTGCTTTTCCTTTTGTTTAAATACTACATCATTTACAGTGGTCAAAGTGAACTATTTTCCTTGAGGGCAGAAACACAATCCGTGTAGAAAGAAGATACCTACAAATCTCCCAGGCATGCCAGGCAAGTCCACAGGGACCTCAAAACTCCCAAGGTTTTGCCTAGTTAAAGCCCTTTCTTAAGTACCAATTCAATTTAATATGAGAACTCTTACCACTGAAGGTAAAATTGAGTTTAAGGAAAGAAAACAGGTAAAACAACATGTTAACCTGTATCCTTTGTTTCTGTTAAATTTATTTTTCTAAGAAACAAAATCTTGTTATGTTGCCCAGGCTGAACTTGAACTCCTGGGCTCAAGCAATCCTCCTCCCTCAGCCTCCTGAGTAGCTGGGACAGACTACAGGTGTGTACTCCGCACCTGGCTTTGCTAACATATACCCTTGATAACAGAGTGGGGGAAAAAAAAATAAAGAGCAGAAATTTATTAACTGTCATTTAATTTTCAAGGAAGTGAATAAATATAGCCAAAAGGGGGAAAAATATACTCCCCACTGTATCAACATCAACATTTAGGAAAAAATTGACCTATCTATTCGATGAGTGCCTATCAAGTGCCAGGTACTGTAGGGAGGCACTGCTATAGGGAGGAACAAATAATTTGTGAAACAGCAAGTGCAGGGTTAGCATCTCTAAGATTTTCCAATGAAGTTTTTATGAGTAGAAATCCATCCATGTATAGATTGGATGAAAACATTTTTTCAACTTAGTGTAAAAGTACAGTATGGGACAACCATGAGTGAAGGGGACATTGGAGCTCACTTTATTCCTATTTTCCTTTTGTCAGATACCAGCCTGGGCAATATGGTGAAACCCTGTCTCTACAAAAAATACAAAAAAATTAGTTGGGCATGGTGGTGCATGCCTGTAGTCCTAGCTACTTGGGAGGCTGAGATGAGAAGATCATTTGAGCCTGGGGAAGTTGAGGCTGCAGTGAGCTGAGATGGTGTCACTGCACTCCAGCCTGGGCAACAAAGCAAGACCCTGACTGCAAAAAAAAAAAAAAAAAAACAAAGATTGACTACAGTGTAAAAAAATTACATGGGGAGAGCTGGGCATGGTGGCTTACAATTATAATCCTAGTGACTCAGGAGGCTGAGGTGGGAGCATCGCCTGAGCCCAGGAGTTCAAGGTTGCAGTAAGCTATGATAGTGCTACTGCACTCCAGTCTGGGTGACAGAAACCTCACCTCTAAATCAAACAAACACCACCACCCCCAAGACAAAAGTTATGTGGGTCTACTCGGGCCCAAGGGCCAGATACTGGACAACTATAGTCTACATTGAAAGAATTGGTCAAATAATCCCAGGTTGGTTATGTGTGCATTTATGTACACATATGTATTTTCTAGCTTTCTGCTGAAGGGACAATGACACCCCAATGTATACCTAGTGCCCAGATTTTTTTTTTTTTTTTTTTTTGAGACAGAGTCTCACTCTATTGCCCAGGCTGGAGTGCAGTGGTGCGATCTCGGCTCACTGCAACCTCCGCCTCCCAGGCTCAAGCAATTCTTCTGCCTCAGCCTCCCGAGTAGCTGAGACTACAGGTACGCACCACCATACCCAGTTAATTTTTGTATTTTTGGTAGAGACGGGGTTTTGCCATGTTGGCCAGGGTGGTCTAGAGCTCTCAAGTGATCTGCGTGCCTCGGCCTCCCAAAGTGCTGGGACTATAGGTGTGAGTCACTGTGCCCGGTCCCAGATCTTGGTTCCTACCTTGATCCACTCAGTGCTAAAAAGAAAATTCCACGCCTGGGACAGGGCAGATGTAAGATAAGCCTGGAACATCTATCTTACTATACCATTCAGTAAGGAGGGGCTAAGAATGACGGGGATATTGTCAGAAAGACACAGGAGAGCCTGTGTGAAGTGGGTAGGAAGGGTTTGACTGTAAAGGGGCATGGGTAGACTTTCTGGGGTGACAGAACCGGTTTTTTAAAATCTTGATTTTGTTGGTGGCTACACAACAGCATGTGTTTATCAAAACTTGTAGAATAGCAGACTTAAAAAGATAAATTTCATTTTGGGAGGCTGAGGCAGGTGGATCGCTTGAGCTCAGGAGTTCGAGACCAGCCTGGGCAACGTGGTGAAACCCTGTCTACACACAAAAATATAAAAATTAGCCAGGGATGGTGACACATGCCTGGAGTCCCAGCTACTTAGTTACTTGGAGGGCTGAGGTGAGAGGATTGCTTGAACCTGGGAAGTCAAGGCTGCAGTGAGCCGAGATTGTGCCACTACACTCCAGCCTGGGGGACAAAGTGAGACCCTGTCTCGAAATAAATAAATAAATAAGTAAATTTATTTATTTATTTTACTGTATGTTAAGTTGTACCTTGGTTAATAAAAAGAAAAAAGGCTGGGCGTGGTGGCTCACGCCTGTAATCCCAGCACTTTGGGAGGCTGAGGCGGGTGGATCACGAGGTCAGGAGATCGAGACCATCCTGGCTAACACGGTGAAACCCCGTTGCTACTAAAAATACAAAAAAATTAGCCAGGCGTGGTGGCGGGCGCCTATAGTCCCAGCTACTCCAGAGGCTGAGGCAGGAGAATGGCGTGAACCTGGGAGGCGGAGCTTGCAGTGAGTGGGGATCATGCCACTGCACTCCAGCCTGGGCAACAGAGCAAGACTCCGTCTCACAAAATAAAAATAAAAAAAAAATAAAGAAAAATTAAAAAAATTTTAAAAAAAAGGAAAAAGAAAAAAACGGCCTGTAATCTCAGCACTTTGGGAGGCCGAGGCGAGTGGATTGCTTGAGCTCAGGAGTTAAAGACCAGCCTGGGCAACATGGCAAAACCCTGTCTCTACCAAAAATACAAAAACTTTGCCAGGCATGGTGGTGAGTGCCTGTGGTTTCAGCTACTTGGGGGGCTGAGGTGGGAGGATCGCTTGAGCCAGGGAGGTGGAGGTTGCAGTGGGCCGAGATCATGCCACTGCACTTCAGCCTGGGTGACAGAGTGAGACCCCATCTCAAAAACAAAAACAAAAACAAAAAGAAACAAAGAAAAAAAGATAGCAACAGTGTTTAACTCATAAATGAATCCATGCTGATATAAATAACAAACAGAGGAGAAGGGAATGCTCTTCCTTTCATGTCAGCTGATATACATAGAAGGGCTGATGGAATTAGAAAATCATCATTTAACAACTGCTCTTCCAGGCAAGAATCATCAGTGATTCTAAAAAAACTACCAGATGTAAGTTTGTTGTGTGGTGACACATGCCTATAATCCCAGCTACTCAGAAGGCTGAGGCAGGAGGATTGCTTGAGTCTAGGAGTCTGAGGTTGAACGGAGCTATGACTGTGCCACTGCACTACAGCCTGGGCATCAGAGCAAGACCCTGTCTCTAAAGATAATAATATTAAAAAATAAAAATAAAAAATTTGGTGACAAATGGGGTATTTATATAGTCTCAAAGTACAGCTCCACAAGATATGTATTAATTACAAAGGGAAAAATAGTTAACTTTTTGGTGGAGAAACCAGGCAAATACTACCTTTAACCAAGTGAAAAAATTTAATATCACAAGCTAGGATATATACAAATCATTTGCCTCCTGATATGACACACTGAGTAGGATACAACATTACTTCTGTGGAGTTTCTGGCAAAAATGCCTAATGTGAATCTAGTCATGAGGAAACATTAGGTAAATTTAAGGTCATTCTACAAAAAATTGCCCAGTACTCTTTCAATGTCAAAGTTATGAAAAGACAAAGATTGACAAATCATTCCATTTTAAAGGAGACTAAAAACACATGAGAAATAAATACAACTCATAAACCCAGCTTGTCTGCTGGACCAAGAAAAGCTTTCTTTTGCTATGTAGAACATTAGTGGTATAACTGGTGAAAATGTAGTAAGATATATAGACTAGATAACACATCATCAATGTTAACTTACTAATTCTATAATTGTACTGTTATTTAAGAGAATGTCTTAGTTTTTTGAAAATATACATCGAAATATTTAGGGGTAAAGGGAAATTATGCCTGTAACCTTCTCTCAAAATGGGTTGGAAAACATATTTTTCTGTCACTTTCTGTAAAATCTGAGATTTCAAAATAAAAAGTAAAAAAGTAAGTCTTGATGTGTGATAAATAACGTAATATAGGTATACACTCAGTGCCTCAGTGCTCATAAAAACGGAGAAAAGGAAAAAACAAATTCTTCTTTGCACTAGTTAAGGATTACTTTCCAGAGGCAATGAAACTGGAGCTGAGTCTTGAGTAATTATTAGTTCCTTGGGGGAGAAACAGGGCTAAGGGAATTCTAAAGAGAAAGAGCATAAGCCGAAGCACAGGAAGCATGAAGGAGATAATGTGATCAAAAGATTCTGGACAGCTTAGTGTGTTAGGCTGGAACCCTTGGCCATGTGTGGAAGGGAGTAGCGGAGACTATCGCTGAAGATGAGACTCGAGTAGTGGGCTGGGGCCAGACTATAAAGAGTTTTGCAGGCCAGACAAAGGCACTCAGACTACTGCAGTGAAGGGAGGCAGTGAAGGTTTTCAAGCCGCAGTGATAAAATACATGTTTTTATTTTTAAATATTTAAATATTTATCTATCTATTTGAGATGGAGCTTCGCTCTTGTCGCCCAGGCTGGAGTGCAATGGCGCGGTGTCAGCTCACTGTAACCTCTGCCTTCCAGGTTCAAGTGATTCTCCTGCCTCAGCGTCTTGAGTAGCTGGGATTACAGGTGTGTGCCACCACGCCCAGTTAATTTTTAAATTTTTAGTACAGACGGGTTTCACCATGTTGGTCAGGCTGGTCTCGAACTTCTGACCTCACGTGATCCACCCACCTCGGCCTCCCAAAGTATTGGGATTACAGGCGTGAGCCACTGTGCCCGGCCAAAATAAGTGATTTTAGAAAGACAACTTGCAGTAGCATTATGGAAAATCAATCAGGTTTGCCTAAATAAGGGTGATAGAATCAAGAAGTATTATTGAAGGCAGAACTGACAAATTGCTGATCAACTGAAGTACGAAGAGAAACAAAGAACAATGATGAGCTGTTTTACATATTTTAAGCCTGAGTCATGCAGAATATTCAGAGAATAATGTCCAGACAGAATTTGGAAACCTGGGAGATTTTCCCAATAAAAGTATATGGAAGTAAAAATCACAAAATTCATCAACTTATTTTTTTTCATTATCATCTTATCTTCAGATGCCTCTTGAATATGCCAAACACCTTTTCTTGCTACCTCTTGATTTTTTCAATTTATTTAGCAGAACTATGTCTTTAAGCCCAATTAAAATATTAGTTGTATGGTTCAATCTGCTTGTGCTCATAAACTGAGGAAGGAACTATGGGAATTCTGGCCTTCAAACAGTAGAAGTCACCTACCTGAGTTAACTTGGGTGTATAAGCTTCCATTTCTTGTCTAATACTTTGAAAAGAATTAATAATGTCCTGACTTGTTGCATACTGTAGTGACTGGATTGGAGTTGGACCATGATAATACCTGCAGGTTAGCACAGAAGAAATTACTAATCACACACAGTAAAGATGCTCAACATTTGTCTTTGCAACATTTTAGCAGTCAGTACTAAGTTCCCCTCAAGGCAAGAAACGATAAGTAAAGAGATTTCAATAAAATAATTTAATTCCCATAAGGGCAATAAGAAAGCAACAGCAGAAAGATCCACATTTATTGTCATGGGTTTGATCATTTTTGCTTCCTGAGAAGCCTAAATTTTAAACAGAAAAGGATATTGTACTTTGATGGTGACGAACTGATTAAAACATGAGTGCTATACTTGTAGGATATATTTTGGACTGAATTGTTACATAGCTATTCTGCTTAATATTGACCAAACTTACCTATCTGACTTCTTGAGGTTTAGTGCAATCGTTTTTACAGAATTATTTTTCCCCAAGTCTTCATATTCAATGGACTCTTGTAATTTCGCCTATAATTATTAACACAGTACTTTTTATTTTGTCACAACTTTCTCTTACACAATAAACATGACTGAAAAAACAAAACTGTACAGAGGGTAAAAAATGAAGTCTTCCCACCATGAGCTTCTCTTCCTAGAGATGACTGTCCTACAAATGGCTGAACCAATTTTCTCAACAACTACTTAAGAATACTAGTTTTCTTACACTCTGACCACATGAAGTATTATTGAACTTTTTACTTTTGCCAATCTGGTAGGTGAAAGTTTACATTTTATTATTTTTTCCCCAAATGAATGATCTGTTATGCTCTCCACTATTTTTATATTGGGTACTTTTTAAAAAATAAGACTTTTAAATATTAAGGAAACAGTCTTTTACATGTTGTAAATACTTTATCTTCCAGTTTGGTGTTTTTTTGTTTTGTTTTGTTTTAATTATAAAAAAATCCTCTCCTCGGCAGGTGCCTGTAATCCCAGCTACTTGGGAGGCTGAGGCAGGAGAATCGCTTGAACCCGGGAGGCAGAGGTTGCAGTGAGCTGAGATCACGCCACTGCGTTCCAGCCTGGGCGACAAGTGAGACTTCATCAAAAAAAAAAAAAAAAATTCCGCCTCTTTGCCCGCTTTTTGCTTATACATCTGTGGCTTAAAAAATTTTTTTTTTCTAGGCGCATATCACCACCTCCCCAGCCAAACTCAGTCTCCTAAATTGCGGAGATTACAGACACATGCTACCATGCTCAGCTTCCGGCTTAATTTTTGCTTAATCTTAGATCCACTCAGAATTTATTTTGGATTAGGAGTAAAATAGGGAATCTAAGTTTCTTTTAACAAAATTATCAATCAGTGCTTCTAACACCATTTGTAAAATAATTTACCTTTTCCCACTGATTTTTAAAATGTCATGTGTATCATACATATGCTTAATTCCTCCACGTATTTGGGTTTACTTCTGGACTCTTTTAGTAATTTTATTCATTAATTTTATTAATCTGTTACCCCCTGTGCTATTAACAACCTGCTTAAATTTTTACAGCCTTGTAATAATACAAACATATTACTTATGAAAGATACATGATCTATGTAAACATTTGTGCAAATCAGCCTTGAAATATTTCATCCTCTACAAAGCTATGAAATTCATCTGGTCAACTCTTATTGACTACCAAGACTAGAATCAGAACATTCAGGTTATTAACTATACCTCAAAAAACGTCAATCTGAAAACTTAACGTTTTAAATTGCTCCAGCTTTAAGATTCTAAATAGTCCCTTTATGGTACAGGAACAAATCTGACCTCACATGAAGTCACAAATCTGACCTCAATCTGAAAACTTAACGTTTTAAATTGCTCCAGCTTTAAGATTCTAAATAGTCCCTTTATGGTACAGGAACAAATCTGACCTCAGAGAAACACATCCTTACCTAGACTCAGCCTGACTTTTTTTTTTTTAACTACTTTCTCAACTCTATACCTTTCAGCCAACTTCAAGGATTACTGATGTCTTCATGATTTTTGACATATGTCAAGCTTATCTCTACCCCTGCTGTTGCCTTACCTATGACATGTCCCTACCCAAGCTCCCATAACAATCCAAATCCTAAACTTATGCCAAGGCCTTGTTAGGTCACCTGACTTTCACACTTAAATGAAAGCTCCATCAAGGTAGGGACTCTGTCTGCTATTAATTCTGAATCTCTCATTCTACAAGTGAGAGAATCTATAAATTGTAACCCTTTATAGAATAAACAGCAGTCAACCACTGACTTGGAAGAATAGTTAGAGCCAGCATTTACCACTGAATACTGATAGCCCCTGACTTACAATGGTTTGACTTGGAATTTTTCAACTTTATGATGGTGTCAAAGTGATTCACATTCAGTAGAGAAACCATATTTTGAGTACCCATACATTGTTTTTCACTTTCAGTATTCAATGAGTTACATGAGATATTCAACATTTTATTAGAAAATACACTTTATAGTAGGTAATGCTGCCCAACTACAGGCTAATCTAAGTGTTCGGAACACATTTAAAGTAGGATAGGCTAAACTATGGTGTTCCATACATTAGGTGTATTCAATGCATTTTTGATTTACAGTATTTGCAACTTATGAGTTTATTGGGATGTAGCCCCATTTAAGTCGAGAAGCATCTGTATTGTAAAAATTCACACAAGTAAATAAATTTCTTTTTTATTTTTTCTTTGAGATGGAGTCTTGCTCTGTCATCCAGGCTGGAGTGCAGCGACGCGATCCCAGCTCACTGCGAACTCCGCCTGCCAGGTTCAAGTGATTTTGCTGCCTCAGCCTCCCAGGTAGCTGGAATTACAGGCGCACGTCACCATGCCTGGCTAATTTCTGTATTTTTAATAGAGACAGGGTTTCACCATGCTGGCCAGGCTGATCTAGAAATTCTGACCTCAAGTGATCCACCCACCTTGGACTCCCAAAGTGCTGGGACTACAGGTGTGAGCCACGGCTCCTGGCCAAGAAATTTCTGATAACTTGTTCACCACCAAGAATCAAGGGTACTCAGCCCAACAGTATACAAAGAAAGTATCACTTAATAGATTTCTTCTCTAACTTCTCTATAACTTATTATTAGCTTTGCTTTAGTTCAAAAAAGAAATACCTCACTGGCTTTATTAATTTTATAGGTAATACATGCCTGTAAAAACATTAAGTTACTGAAATAGGCTGGCACAGTGGCTCATGCCTGTAACCCCAGCACTTTGGGAGGCTGAGATGGGCGGATCACATGAGGCCAGGAGTTCAACACCAGCCTGGCCAATATGGCAAAACTCCGTCTCTACTAAAAATACAAAAATTAGCTAGGTATGGTGGTGCACGCCTGTAATCCCAGCTACTCCGGAGGCTGAGGCAGAAGAATTGCTTGAATCCAGGAGGCAGACGTTGCAGTGAGCCGAGATTGCAGTGAGCTGAGATTGCACCACTGCACTCCAGCCTGGGTGACAGAGCAAGACTCTGTCTCAAAAAAACAAACAATAACAACAACAAAAACATTAAATTACTGAAATAAATGAAAGAAATTAAGACTTACCCATACTCTCTTTATTGAAAGATAACCGTTTAGCATATTCATTTGAAGGCCCTTTTAAAGCTCACAAACTATTTTTTTTGTGTGTAAAACTGTACTGTACAATCTGTTCAGTGAACTCTTTGATGCAATATTATCATTAATGCTTTCAAAATAATGAACAGTTGCATCAATCTCTATTGTATTAATGCAACACAGATAACAGAATCCTTGCTACTGTCTTTATTATGATACTGTAATGAATATTTCTATCTAAATCTTAGTATACATCTTTCTTAAGAAATAAATGTCCACAAGTAGAACTAAGGGTGTAAAGCTTTAAACATTTAATACACATTGCCTGACTGCTCTCTAAGAAAGCTTTATCATAATTAGGAAGGGAGGTACAAAATAGCGTGGCAAAGTTGCAGGAGAAGAATAAATACACAAGCAGCTAATTCTGTCCATCCTTCTCCACACCCTCAAATGATTTCTTCAATATTTAATGAGAAGACACTTTCAGCTCTGAAATGCTAGGTTTAACATGAGGGCCAATTCACTTTCTTTGAAAAATCATATACATGAAACTTCGGTTTTTCTGTCATATTGCCTCTGTTGAATGAAGATTTTATTCCCAGAGAACAAAATCACATATAAGAACAATCTGTATGTATGTGTACATGTGAGGAAAACAAACAAACAAACAAACAAAAAACAATAAAAATGGCTAACAGGCTAGAGTCAATGGAAAGTTGGCTGGCAAGCCAAAGCTGGGGAAATACTCTTTGTAATGCTATACACTTTAAGCCAAATGCTTAACATCTTAGTTAGAAGAACTGAGTCACAGGAAATAAGCGTATACAGTACTTGCAGTCACATAAAGTATTTGGAGAAACTTGAGCCCCAAATGGTTCATATTTTTTTGCCCATACCCTTTTGACTGCTGGCTGAAAGCAGTCTGCATCTCCGGAATTTCCATCCATGTTGCTGGGCTCACTAGTTTGTTCATTTTGTGCTTCTCTTAAAATAAAGGGGAAAAAAAAGTTAACGTTAAAAACCACAAGCAAAACAACACCACAACTCCATCTGGATATCCTGAAAAGCCCAGTTACTGCACCTCTGCATTTATACTTAACTGTTTTCTGAGTCCAGCTGCCAGGACCATGGCACTGTGATGGTTAAATCTCTTGATGATGGCAGCATTACTATTCTCTTTTATGGATTTAGAATTGGAAGCAGATGGCACAGAGGAAATGCCATAGCCCTGTGAGAAATAATAGATTAAAAATTTTTTAAAAAGGTTCTGCTTTTCTTATTATAAGACACGCTTAGCTGAAAAAATTTGCTGGATGATGGGACTTTTATTACTTCTCACGAACATTAAATATTTATGAACAAACATTTAAAAACAAGTGACATTATGCACATAAAAGATTAACAAATAGCACTAACTCGTTTTAGCATTACAAAATACATCTTAAACTGAATTTCTCTCTGTTTTTGAGATGGAGTCCCGCTCTGTTGCTCAGGCTGGAGTGCAACCTTCGCCTCCTGCATTCAAGTGATTCTCTTGCCTCAGCCTCCTGAGAAGCTGGGATTACAGGCGCCTGCCACCACGCCCGGCTAATATTTTGTATTTTTAGTAGAGATGGGGTTTCACCATGCTGGTCAGACTGGTCTTGAACTCCTGACCTCAAGTGATCCGCCCACCTTGGCCTCCCAAAGTGCTGGGATTACAGGTGTGAGCCACCGTGCGTGGTCTGCATTTCTCTTTTAAAGAACAATTTGGATCTAGTTATCAAAACGTTAAATAAAAGCAATAGAGTCAGGATACCTGTAATCCCAGCACTCTGGGAGGCCAAGGTGGGCGAGTCACCTGAGGTCAGGAGTTCAAAACTAGCCCGGCCAACATGGTGAAACCTCATCTCTATCAAAAATACAAAAATTAGCCAGGTATGGTGGCACACACCTGTAATCCCAGCTGTTGGGGAGGCTGAGTGAGGCAGGAGAATCACTTGAACCCAGGAGGCAGAGGTGGCAGTGAGCTGAGATTGCACCACTGCACTCCAGCCTGGGTGACAGAGTGAGACTGTCTCAAAAAAAAAAAAAAAAAAAAAAGTAAATAAAAAGAATAGAATATAGTGAGAAAAACACTGACTATGGATTCAGAAAGATAAAGAGTCAAATTCTTTTTCTAACGTTAATCTAGGCAAGATAAACTTTTCCAAGCTCTATAAAGTAGGATAAAAGAGAATAAAATGAGATTATATTTTAAAACATGTATTGAGTGCACGCTACTTGCTAGACCATGTAGATACAAAATTGATTAAGACCCCATGCCATAGGAGCTTAAATACTAGTTAGTGGGAAGCTGGGCTGGAGAGAATTACTAATCAATCCTACTGGAGAAGAGGGTTCGAAAAAGGTTCACAGAGAACCATAAGATAAACTGGTGCTTGCCAAGTAGATCGGAGACAATAACATTTCAGGGAGAGGAAACTGCTTAAACAAAGGCAAAGAGGCACTGTGGTCCTGATTATTTGGGAGGTTGAGGCAGAAGAACTGTTGAGCCGAAGAGTTCAAGTCCAGCCTGGCAACACAGTGAGACCTTGTCTCTATTTAAAAATAAAACAAAACACAAGCAAAGCAGCAATGTAGTACATATTGTGTCATGAGACTGTATATGGTTCAATACACTAATAACGGTGGTCCAGGAATTGGTGAGGCTAAAAAGGTGAAAGAAAGATCATGAGACTCATATGGGCCAGGCGTGGTGGCTTACGCCTGTAATCCCAACACTTTGGGAGGCTGAGGCGGGTGGATCATGAGGTCAGGAGATCGAGGCCATCCTGGCTAACACGGTGAAATCCTTTCCGTACTAAAAATACAAAAAATTAGCCGGGCGAGGTGGCGGACGCCTGTAGTCCCAGCTACTCAGGAGGCTGAGGCAGGAGAATGGCATGAACCCCAGGGGGCAGAGCCTGCAGTGAGCCGAGATGGTGCTACTGCACTCTAGCCTGGGTGACAGCAAGACTCCGTCTCAAAAAAAAAAAAACTCATATGTGCTGGGTGTGGTGGCTCACGCCTGTAATCCCACCACTTTGGGAGGCTGAGGTGGGTGGGTCACCTGAGGTTGGGAATTCAAGACCAGTCTGGTCGTGGTGAAACCCTGTACTAAAAATACAAAAATTAGCTGGGCGTGGTGTGTGCCTATGATCCCACCTACTCAGGAAGCTGAGGGAGGAGAAGTGCTTGAACTCGGGAGGCAGAGATTGCAGTGAGCTGAGATCACGCCACTGAACTCCAGCCTGGGCAAAAGGGCACGACTCCATCTCAAAAAAAAAAAAAAAAAGATCCATATGCTGTTCATCAATGTATCAAATAATTACTAAGTGATTATTACTACATGACATGCGCTAGGAACAGGCCAATAAACAGAACAAAGTCAGCTTCATGAAGATTACACTCTGAGAGGAGTGTGAATGCAATTATCAAGTAAAACAAGGTAAACACAATATTTTTTGAAAGTGGAAAATGTCATTGAATAAAACAGAGGGTAACATGATGAAGTGACTGAATTTGTGGGTGGTTAGAGAAAGCCTCTCTGAAGCACGCAACTTTTTAATTTTTAATTTTTAAATTTATATTTTTATTTTTTTTTGAGACAGGTTCTCGCTCTGTTGCCCAGGCTGGAGTGCAGTGGTGCAATCGCAGTTCACTGCAGCCTTGACCTCCTGGGCTCAAGTGATCCTCCTACCTTAGCCTCCCGAGTAGCTGGGACTGCAAGTGTATACCACTATGCCCAGCTAATTTTTAAATTAAAAAAAAAAAAAGTTTAGAGATGTGGTCTCACAATGGACTCAAACGATCCTCCCACCTCAGCCTCCCAAAGTGCTAGGATTAAAGGCATGAGCCACCCCACCTGGCGAGAAATGACATTAGAACAGGTATCTAAAGATAGGCAGAAGCTGGTTAGGGAACAAGCAGGTAGAAGATCAGTTAAGTGCATAGGCCCTGAGGTAGAAAAAGCGTGGCATGGAAGTGAATGGTCATTATGTCTAAAGCATGAATGAGTAGAAGTGGCCCCAACTGAGAAGTATGCAGGAGCCAAATCTAGCAGTCTTGTAGGAGTTTTGATTTTATTCTAAGCTCAATGAGAAGATAATGAAGAGATTCACATAGGGGATTATTAGGATCTGATTTATATTATAATCCTTTTTTTTTTTTTTTTTTTTGAGACAGTCTCACTCTGTCACTCAGGCAGGAGTGCAGTGGTGCAATCTTAGCTCACTGCAGCCTCTGCCTCCCCGGTTCCAGCGACTCTCCTGCCTCAGCCTCCTGGGTAGCTGGAATTACAGGCATGTGCCGCCAGGCCCGGCTAATTTTTGTATTTTTAGTGGAGATGGGGTTTCACCATGTTGGCCAGGCTGGTCTCAAACTCCTGACCTCAGGTGATCCACCCACCTTGGCGTCCCAAAGTGCTCGATCACAGGCACGAGCCACCACGCCCGGCCTATATTATAATTATTACTGCTAGGGGAGAATAAACTATAAAAGACAAGATAGCAAAAATAAAGGTTAGAAGGCTAAGGCAAGCAAACAGGCCAAAGATGATGATACCGTAAACATGAAAGGGTGTAAGCGTTTGTGTAGATCCCACAGATGAGAGGTGTATTGTACGAGGCTTGTTGATACACTGAATGCTGGACATAACAGGAGGAAAACATGGCTGGCTGCAATGGTTCACGCCTGTAATCTCAGCACTTTAGGAGGCCGAGGTGGAAAAATAGCTTGAGCCCAGGAGTTCAGACCAGCCTGGGAAATATAGGGAGACCCTGTCTCTACAAAAAATAAAATTAGCCAGGTGTGGTAGCCTGTGCTACAGTCCCAGCTACTCAGGAGCCTAAGGCAGATTGCTTGAGCCCAAGAGGTCAAGATTGCAGTGAGCCATGATTGTGCCACTGCACTCCAGCCTGGGCAACAGAGTGAGCCCGTCATAAAAAAGAAGAGGAAGAATCAAGGAGACTCGCCGACTCCCAGGTTTTTGGCTTGAGCAAATTGTAATGCTTTTTACTAAGAGAGGGAATACCCATGGAGATACGTTTATGAGGATGGGAATCAAAGATTCCATTTTACATGTGAAGTTGAGATGTCTTTGAAATACCTGAGAGGAGATGTCAAGTAGGCAGCTAGAGCTCTGCAGTCAAAGACAGACTATGGTTATTCAGGATTCATCATTATGTAACAAGAATGTTTTTATTTTTATTTTTACTCCCTCCCCTGTTCCCCATATCTAGTAAAGCAATGGAATAGAGAGAATGCATTCAGGAGGCCATAGATCATAGCCTGTGATAGTTACTATAACCAGAAGATTGAGAAGGAAAGAAGGAACACCAAATGAAAAATGGCATCAACCAATATTTGTAGTAAAAAGATTGGTTATATAAATGTTGATATACCCATACCAATGGAATACTATGCAGGCATCTAAAAATACAGATAACAACAATAATGCCTATTACCTACTACTTATTACGCACTAGGCTCTTTTAACTCATAGAAATCCTATAAGGCAAGTACTATTAGCCTCACTAAGGAAAACAAAAACAAAAACAAAAAAACTGGGCTTGGGCCGGGCACAGTGGCTCACATCTGTAATCCCTGCACTTTGGGAGGCCGAGGTGGGTGGACCACCTGAGGTCAGGAGTTCAAGATCAGCCCGGCCAACATGATGAAACCCCGCCTGTACTAAAAATACAAAAATTAGCCTGGCGTGGTGGCATGTGCCTGTGATCTCAGCTACTCGGGAGCCTGAGGCAGGAGAATCGCTTGAACCCAGGAGGTAGAGGTTGCAGTGAGCCGAGCTCAGGCCACTGTACTCCAGCCTGGGCAACAGAGTGAGATCCCATCTCAAAAAACAGAACAAAACAAAACAAAACAAAAACCAAACAGGGCCTAGAAATGTTAGAAGATATCAGAATCTAAGTCAGCTAGTTTGGTTTTAAAGTCTATGTTTTAAACTATGGGATGGTTTATACAGCTATTGATACTAAACAGAAGATAAAGTTACAAATGTACATGTACAATATGCCATCATGTTTATTTTAAAGAAAAAAAAAGCACTAAAAAAGTCTTCCTTTCATACTAAGTTGTAAGTCTAAGCGCCACTAAGCTTTATTTTCTCAGGATAATTAAAGAGGGCCATGTTTGTATAGATTCTTCTTCACTTCTGAAAGGGTGATGTCCTGAAAAACTCACTGTATGATCAAAGTATAAATTGAAAATACACTGGCTGGGCGTGGTGGCTCATGACTGTAATCCCAGCACTTTGGGAGGCCAAGGTGGGCAGATCACCTGAGGTAAGGAGTTTGAGACCAGCCTGGCCAACGTGGCAAAACCCTGTCTCTACTAAAAATACAAAAATTAACTGGGTGTGGTGGCACGTGCCTGTAATTCCAGCTACTTGGGAGGCTGAGGCAGGAGAATGGCTTTAACTTGGGAGGCAGAGGTTGCAGTGAGCCAAGATTGCGCCACTGCACTCCAGCCTGGGCAACAGAGTGAAACTCTTTCTCAAAAAAAAAAAAAAAAAAAAAAAAAAAGAGACAGAAAAAGAAGAAAAATAAGAGCAAGAAAATGAAAACTCAGAGTAAAGGGAATAACTGAGGAAGACAAGTTCTGGCCTAGAAGACAGAGGCAGTGATAAAATTATCCTTGATCACAACAGGAACCATCTCTTTCTCTGCAAGTAGATAAATCTGTAGGTCTGGGGTCATGATGCTGAGGTAGGTAGGTCATACATGATGGCCTACTTGCTGAAACATTGGGGTTGGCATGGTATAAGGGTCATGAGAGTGCTTAAGGTTTGGCAGATAGTAAGCAATCAACAAATGTTTGTTATCTTCCTTATTTATTAATTTATCCATATTTCTTTAGATTAAATGTTAGCTAGAGCATAAAGCTGAACTCATCACATTAAGCCTTTATTATTACTAGAGAACTGCGGATGAGGGAGCTAGAAATTTATTTTTAAAAGGTTTTAGCAACTCACACAGGAATTTCATTTCTTCTAGGCAATTTTAATGGCAAACAACGCTATTTCAAAGCACTTCCGATAAATCACTTCAAGTAACAGTATTTTGCTTATTTGACATTCTCACAAGTGGAATAGGTCTACTACGCTTAAGACAATGTTGAAGACTAGGAAAAGACTCTTTTCTCTCAAAACTTCTTTTATTGCTTCTTACCTCATCTAATGGTTTATCTTCCAAAGCTGTTAAATCTAGTAGTGGGTTTTTCACTCCTAATGAAACCATTGTTTTTAGGCCTAGAAAATCAACAAAATAAAAAGTTCAGCATGTCTTATCTGTCTCAGAAATTAACACTTATAATGTCTAGAGGGTGGCAAGTTAAATACCAGTGTCTATCAGAGATAAACAGTTACCTTTTTCATCTATTTTGGCACATTCTGCAAAGAGATCCTTTGACCCTGTATTCAGCCGATCCCTGTGAAAATAATGGGACTGGAAAAAACGTGTCCAGAATTCCTTCTCTGTCATGTTGTGGGGAACATTTTCTGCATATTTCATTTTTACTGTGGAAAAAAACCCACAAATATTATATACTGAATTTCCATTTTTAAAACCTCTCAAATTAGGTAACTGAAATACAAATAGCAAAATCTAGACCATAAAGCTCTCAACTCTACATACTATAAGTTATAATCTAATTATAAATATGAAGGGTAACTTGAGAGATTAGGTGAGGTATGACCTCTATAAATCTTACAAATTACAAACAAAACCTTATTTGCACCAAAAGAATAAGGTTTTGAAGTTTTAGTAGAAATACCAAGAATCTCAGGAGTCAGAGCTGAGTCTGCTTGTTTGCTCATTTATATATGTGCACTCTCAATCCAAGGCACTGTGTTAGCTTGTGGGGTAATAATGATCTCAATATCCACTGGACTGTCAGCTCAGCACTCCAGCGGCTTACACACTAGCAAGCATAGAGTTCAACAGCATTGTTTGCTGAGCTCTGAGTTTAAAATTCCAGGTCTGCCACTTTCTATCTGTGTGACCCTGAGCAAATTACTTAATCTTTCTGCACCCTGGTTTCCTCATCTGTAAAATGAGGGTCATAACAGTACCTCTACTTCATAGGTTTACGTGATGATTAAATCAGTTACTATAGAAAAAGAACTTAGAAAAGCGTCTGGCACATAATAAACACTACACAATTATGTTACCATCAGAAAGATACAAAAGAGCCAGATGCTGTGGCTCAAGCCTGTAATCTCAGCACTTTGGGAGGCTGAGGCGGGCAGATCACTTGAGGTCAGGAATTCAAGACCAGCCTGGCCAACAGGGTGAAACCCCATCTCTACAAAAAATACAAAAAGTAGCTTGGCGTGGTGGCACGTGCCTGTAGTCCCAGCTACTTGGGAGGCGGAGGCAGTAGAATCACTTGAGCCTGGGAGGCGGAGGTTGCAGTGAGCCAAGATCGCGCCACTGCACTCCAGCCTGGTTGACAGAGCAAGACTCTGTCTCAATTAAAAAAAAAAAAAGAGATAGGGTCTTGTTTTGTTGCCCAGGCTAGTCTTGAACCCCTTGCTTCAAGGGATCCTCTTGCCTCAGCCTCCTGAAGTGTTGGGATTACAGGCGTGAGCCACTGGGACTGGCCAGGATTTCATAGAGGTGGCAAGGAGGTGATGCTTGAGCTGAGTCCTGAGAGAGAGATTCCTAAGGGACTAAAGGGGTAAGAGTGGGGAAGAGGGAAGCGAGAACAGAATACAGCTTAAGAGAGTACTGCTTAGTCAGAAGAATGACTGACACACTGGCTCTCATCCTTGTCTACACATAATAAATCACTGAGGCTGGGGTCAAGGAATCTATACTTTTAGGATGGCATCTGCACGGGAAGTAATTTGTGGGTTAGGAAGGTCACTCTGGATGCAGAATGAAGAATGATCTGAGTTAGTAGTACAGACAGACTCGAATGGCAGTCATATTAGTGAACTGATGACAACACATTATTTACTGAGCCCCTAGTATCTACCATATGTCAGGCACTGGGTAAAAAGTACTTTACATAATTTATTGCACTTGATCAGGAATCTGAAGCTTTTTGTTTTTCACTGATATACTATAGAATATATCCATATATTTTAACCATCTGAAAGAACTGATTCTTCTTACCTGCTGGATAGGTCCTAAATATGGACTCAATGATATCAGAAGTTAAATTATATCTTAGACCGTTACAGCCATCAGTTTGGGGCCGGACATCAGCCTAAAACAAAGCCCATACACACATACACGTTAGAGCATCAGGGAAAGATGGCTCAGGTCCCAGTGGACACTGGACAAAGGTGGAAAAAAAAATTTCTGAACTAACTGCATAGACAGAGAAAGTCCCTCACCTTCACTTTTTGCACAGAGGCAGGACTCAAAAAAGCCTGACTGGTTTCTCACGGTCTTAAGTGACCTATAAAATCTGCTCCTTTGGAAGTCTAATATGGTCAAATAGGCATGTTTAAGTATGAAGGCAGAGAGGCAGTGGAGCTTTAAGATAAAACTTGTATAGTCATAAAAATCACTACAAACCTTGGTTAGTAAATAATTAAATTAACATTAACTGACTGACTTCTTTGGGAAAGGCCTTATTAATTCACTTCACTAATAAACATCCAAAAAAGATACCAAACATACAAATAGTATTCAAAATTTTGTTGAATGTGTTAATACTATTCTGGTTCCACTAGAATACCAACTGACTGAATTCCATTCCATAATTCCACAGATAAGGTATTCCCAATTGTTCTAATATAGTTTACAAATCTTACATTTTCTATAATATGGTCATGATACATTTAACCTTGTATTGTAAGTAAAATATGGCAAAGGTTTAAAAAGGCAGCAGAAAGCCCTACATTTGAAAATATTTGAAAAAGTAAGTATTAGTCCAAACTCTGAAAGAGTCATTTTCAAATTCCATTTGACTACCAGCATGCTAGGGTCAAGTCCAAAGGCCAAGAAAACATAACTGGTAAAAAGAAATATAAATTTAAAAAAAATTATATGTATTTTAAAAACATTTTGGAAGAGGGCTGAGTGTGATAGCTCATACTTGTAATCCCAGAGCTTTGGGAGGCTAAGATGGGAGGAACTCTTGAGGCCAGGGATTTGAGACCAGCCTGGGAAATACAAAAAGAGCTGCCCCCCGCCCTATAAAAATAAGAAAATTTAGCCAGGCAAGGTGGTGCACACCTCTAGTCCCAGCTACTTGAGAGGCTGAAGCAGGAGGATCGCTTAAGCCCAGGAGTTTGAGGCTGCAGGGAGCTATCACTGTGCCACTGCACTCCAGTCTGGGTGACAGAGTGAGACCCTGTCTTTTAAAAACAAACAAACAAACAAACATAATAATAATAGTTCAATAATAGTGAAGAATACCATGGATACTCAATTTTCCATTACTTTCCTTTAAGGAAATGCTAAGTTTTACAAAAGGAATAATGGTCTTAAGACACATATTGGGGTTTGAATTTTTATTTTCTTCAGAAATCTAGAAGGCTCACATACCAGAAATGCAGCAGAAATGCCAACATCCTGCTTATGATTGGATGTGGAAGAACTATCTGTTGCATTCACATTTAAACGATTGGCCCAGAATTCCTCAGCACTGATCACTTGACTCACAACAAGGTCTTTATAAAGCTGAAACAAAACAGGATCTTCTTGCAGCATTCTGTAAAGCAGAATATACTGAATATAACTGAACTTCTAGAATAAAACACCATGTAGGTACATTTTAAAAAGATTTTGGCAACACAAAACATTGAAACACACAACTTTTATTTTGTGATGTTTGAGCAGCAGAGGTCCTTCAGTTCACTTTTCAGTAATTAAGAGCAAAATACCCCACATTTTTGGAGGAACAAATGAAGTGGTGATAAATGGAGGTAGGTGTAAAGGAAAGATTAAACCCTTTGAGGACATGGGTTTGATCTTATTCATCTCCGTATCCCAGTGATTCAAAGATCACCATGTCTGCAGTGTACTGTCTGTTGGTATCTGAAAATGCTCAAGTCCGTTAGATAAAATGGTGTATTTACATACAACCTATACATATCCTCCCATATACTTAAATCTTATATTATAAATCTTATAATAATAACTATTTGTAATATCAAATACAAGGTAAATAGTTATATTTTTATTTGTATTATGTTTAATTATCGTACTGTTATTTTTTTCCCAAGTACTTCTGATCCAAAGTTGGTTGAATCTGTGGATGTAGAACTCCTGGATATGGAAGGCTGAATGTATTCTCTTTCATATACAGAAGTAAATGGGCAGAAAAGGAGGTATGCTTGAAATTTTCCAGCAATGAAGTTTTTTTTTTCTTTTTTGAGATGGAGTCTCGCTCTGTCACCCAGGCTAGAGTGCACTGGCATGATCTCAGCTCACTGCAGCCTTTGCCTCCCAGATTCATGCGATTTTCCTGACTCAGCCTCCCAAGTTGCTGGATTACAGGTATGCGCCACTACACCCAGCTAATTTTTGTATACATAGATATGTATTTTTTTTAGTAGACGTGGAGTTTCACCATGTTGGCTGGGTTGGTCTTGAACTTCTGACTTCAAGTGATCCACCCACCTCAGCCTCGAAAAGTGCTGAGACTACAGGCATGAGCCATTATGCCCCGCCTTCAGCAATGGATTTTTCATGGCGCTAAGCATGCACAGATATAAGCACTGCTGGCCTGAAAGATATTGGTGATGGAATAATTCATAAGGAAATTGTGGCCAGGTGTGGCGGTTCACACCTGTTATCCCAGCACTTTGGAAGGCCCAGGCAGGCAGATCACTTGAGGTCAGGAGTTTGAGACCAGCCTGGCCAACGTGGTGAAACCCTGTATTAAAAATAGAAAAATTGGCCAAGTGTGGTGGCGTGTGCCTGTGATACCAGATACTTGGGAGGCTGAGGCAGGAGAACTGCTTGAACCCAGGAGGTGGAGGTTGCAGTGAGCTGAGATCACGCCACTGCACTCCAGCCTGGGCAACAGAGCAAGATTCTGTCTCAAAAAAAAAAAAAAATTCTCATTATTTTACATACTGTCTCACTTTTTCAGTGTGAATTATTTTAGGTTTCTTGTTCATAAGCATACTTCCAATGGCTTAGCATCTTCTCTGTGACAGAGAACTGGGAAAAGAAATTAAGGAACTTCAGCACCTTCCAATCCCGGTTCTGCTCCTAAGCAGATGTTAAGCATGATGCAGTTAATTCAGCTTCTGGGTTTGCACATTCTCGTTTCCCAAAGTCAAACAAGCAGTAAGATTTTAAAGCTGAAAACTAAACACCAAGGTAAAGACACTAGA
The DNA here is from genome assembly GCF_000001405.40 of Homo sapiens. Lineage (NCBI taxonomy): Eukaryota > Metazoa > Chordata > Mammalia > Primates > Hominidae > Homo > Homo sapiens. The sequence continues at coordinate 85,301 of NW_021160006.1, read as the reverse complement.
GCCCATATTTTCCTACATTACAGTATCATAGCAAAAGTGAGGATAGGTGGCCGGGCGTGGTGGCTCATACCTGTAATCCCAGCACTTTGGGAGGCTGAGGTGGGTGGATCACTGGCGGTCAGGAAGTTCGAGACCAGCCTGACCAACATGGTGAAACCCTGTCTCTATTAAAATTACAAAAATTAGCCGGGCATGGTGGCACATGCCTGTAGTCCCAGCTACTCGGGAGGCTGAGACAGGAGAATTGCTTGAACCTGGGAGGTGGAGGTTGCAGCGAGCCAAGATTGTGCCACTGCACTCCAGCCTAGGCGACAGAGCGAAACTCCGTCTCAAAAAAATCCAAAAACAAACAAACAAAAAACCACCACCACCAAAACAAACAAACAAACAAAACAAAAACAAAAACGACAACAACAAAAAACCAAAACCAAAACCGAAAAAACGTGGGGATAGCTAACAAGCTATTAGCATACTAGGAGACTATAGAGAACCCAGTATCTCTTTCAAAAGGCTATTCTTTTCCTCCCACCTGTTCTTCTCTTCCAGTTCTTTATTTGCTTTCCTCTTGAATTTGGGCAGCAGCTGCTGAAGAAGGTCTTTTACTGCATCTCGCTCTTTCACTGCTGTGCTTTCATTGGAAAAATGGAAGTTAGTTGTGTCCCCTGCATGTAGGACCAGCTGAAGCTGAATTTTAGCTTTTCCTTCTGGACTAATTTTCTGGCCTAAAAAGAAGCATGAGGGCAGTTAGATGATGACACTCACACTGTGGGAATAACCATACAGTAAGTTACTTCTCCCAAGATGATTCAGGATTCCTTTGGGCTTTAACTGCCCTATTCCAATACTGATGCTTTTGTAGAATGCACTCTTCTTAAATGATCCCATACAACCAGAGCATGCTCATCAAACTCACTAACACTCTGCTTCCTTCTTTGGTACTCTTGTCATGCAGCACTTCTCACCCACTGCTACTACCTCCAGATATTAATGGGCTTTTGTTACCATTCAACTAGGGCAGGGCAGACCTCTTTAAAGCTTCCTGAATGTATTTTAAACAAACTGCCCCAAATCAACATTATCATTAATAAAAAATGACCTATCATGATCCAAAAGACTGCAAAATGCGGCCCATGGCATTTCTTTTTGCAAGGGAAATATGTAATTTTATATTCGAGAAATCTGGTGTCACCACTTTAATAAAGTTATCAAACTTAGCCTCATTAAAAGTGAGACAACCTGACACTATATGCTTTCTGAGGTGATGGAACAGGAAGTGAATGTCACTATGTATGTTATTACTCTTGCACAAAATGTTTAAGCTGAATATATTCAAGCCTTTAGATCTGACTTTTAGCTTATAAAAAATACAGGTATACAGGAATAAATTAAAACCTTGAGGAGACAATCAGAAATATTCAGAATGTTTGATATTTGACAAGGCTATACCCTGAAAGGGACTAAAGAAATGACAACTACAGGAACCTAGATTGGATACCGTTTTTTTTAAAATAAAAAAATAAAAAAATAAACCAAAAACCACAACTATAAACATTACTGAGACAACCAATGGAAATGTAACAATGGCTATTTTTTATTAAAATGTTTTCAGTGTGATAATGGTATTACAAGCAATAAAAGTGCACACACAAATAATAAAGCAAATATGGCAAAATAATAACTAATATCTAGGTGGGGCATATTACGTAGGTTTTCACTGTATCATTCTTTAAAATTTTCTGTAACTTTGTCAGCTATGATAAGAACTAAATCAATTTCAATTGCTTCTTTCAGATGTGGGCATTCCTTCAAATATTCAACTTGAAACTGTTCTGGTGCAAATCTAGTTTTGGGTATGCACTGCTTTCACCAATAACTGAGAAGAATTGTAGAGAAATTGGAGATGGGCATACTGTTTATTGTACACTGTGGTTATCACAATGTGCGTGTGTATTACACAAAGCTATGGGGCTAGCTTCCCATTTGAGAGAGACGCTAATACTGCTAATTTATAAGTCTATTGTTACAGAAATGTTAGTAGCTAAGGCTATTAGCTAGTAACAGAAATTTGTAGGGCATTCTCTCAGAAATATATGTCTTTTTTTGAGAAGGAGTCTCGCACCCAGACTGGAGTGCAGTGGCGCGATCTTGGCTCACTGCAAGCTCCGCCTCTTGAGTTCACGCCATTCTCCTGCCTCAGGCTCCCGAGGAGCTGGGACTACAGGCGCCCGCCACCATGCCCAGAGAATTTTTTTGTATGTTTAGTAGAGATGGGGTTTCATTGTGTTAGCCAGGATGGTCTCGATCTCCTGACCTTGTGATCCGCCCACCTCGGCCTCCCAAAGTGCTGGGATTACAGGCGTGAGCCACCGCGCCCGGCCCTTAATTTTTGTATTTTTAGTAGAAATGGGGTTCCACCATGTTGAGCAGGCTGGTCTCAAACTTCTGATCTCAGGTGATCCACTCGCCTTGGCCTCTCAAACTTCTGGGATTACAGGTGTGAGCCATTGCACCTAGCCCATGCCTGAAATTTATAAAAAGAGATTCCACCACCTACATTCACTATAAGGTTGAGTCTTCTCAACAGAAGATGGCCACATAAGCAAAGATCAGACAACTTGCCTAACTGGTACAATTTTAGTGAAGGAAAATCTGGCATCATCTATCAGCATTTTAAATGCATAAACCTGGCCAAGCATGGTGGTGCATGCCTATAACATAATCCCAGAACTTTGAGAGGATGAGGCAGGAGTGTTGCTTGAGGCCAGGAGTTTGAGACCGGCCTGGGCAACACAGCAAGACTCTGTCCCTACCAACAATAACACAAAAAAACACATCAACTATTAAACAGGAAATTCTTTGCAGAAATGTATCCTACACATACAACCTTGAAATGATATTAGTGCAAACACTGCAATAAAAAAATTCTGGAAACTTCCTAAGTGTCCAACCACAGAGGGCTGGTTAAATACATGATTGTATATTCATTTAGTGGAGTATTATGCAACTCTTAAAGTGTGTGGAGATCTATATGTCAGGTAGATTTACATATTATATGTAAACCTGTACCTGTTCTGTTATTAAGTGAAAAGGTCAGGTTATAAAACAGTATATATTCAGTGACCCCATTTTGTAATTATTTCTACATAGTTGATTTTTTGATATAAAATAAAGATTTATATAATCTCTTTACAAAATTACTAGCAACTATGACATACAAATACATCAGAACTTAGTATAGCTGACTTACATTTAATATCTGCATACATATGGCTGATTGTAAATCTATCTTTGCCTTCAGGTGCCCAAGCAATTCTTTCTGCCATGAGGTACAGAGCTCCATCCTGCTTCTTTTGACGCACTTTCTTTACAATCAGCAAAACTTCTTCAGATGAGGTTGCCATGGTGGCTAGAAGGTGCTAAGAGAGAAAAAAAAGATGAAGAAAAAAACTATTCCACACATCAATTAGGGTTGAATTTGTTGACTTCTAGAGTCCCTTTCAAATATAAAATCTAAACTGTAGGAAATTAACGGGGAAGAAGAAAGTCTCTTTTCTCATTCAAAGTTGAAGATAAAGTTGCACGGCATCATTCCTCTACAATTAAATTTCATTTTGCTCATACCACAGGTGTAAATTTATACAATACTTATATGCTAATGAGTATTATTAATTTATTTTCCTCAGTTATATTCTTATACACACACAATTTGAAAATGTGTAGTCTTTCATATAGTCTATATTTACAATTGTAAAACTGTAGAATTACAGTCATATTTATTATTTAGTTCAAATTTGTTTCAATTGAAACTAAAGTCTGCAAGATATGTGGGGACTTCCCAGAACCACTCCCAGAGCTGAAACCACACCAAAGTTTCCTGATTTCTGGTCTGTTTCTTCTGTATAAATAAAACTGAGAGAACTAAATATTTAACACTTCACATGCTAATTTCTTATCTTTTAACATTCAAATGTCTTCAACTGCTCTCCACGTCTTGGCCATGATTCATTGGTATAATGCCTAACTAGTTACCTAAGAAAGAGTCTGGTCCCTCCACCTCCATCCCCTGCCTCTGAGAATCTTAAATGCCCAACCCAAATCCTCCAGGCTTGAGTGTGGCTGTCTGGACTCAGTGAGAAAAACTGCTGACTGATGGTGCTGTCTGCCATGGGCCAGGATGGGGAAAGTTGTGGCACCAATGCCACATATATGCCATTTCTGGTGAAGTTATGACTTTAGTTTTCATCCCCAGAGGAATGGCCAAAATATAATTTAACAATTACGTTTGCCCTGGGCAAATAAGTGAAGCTTTACCGCAACATTTTTCTGAGGGTTAAAACTAATGAAAACAGGCCAAGTGATGTGGCTTACACCTGTAACCCCCCGCAATTTGGGAGGCCAAGGCAGGAGGTATCACTTGAGCCCAAGAGTTTGAGATCAGCCTTGTCAACAAAGTGAGACCCCGTCTGTACAAAAAATAGGTCTAATTACTTTGGGAGGCCAAAGGGGGAGAATTGCTTGAGCCCAGGAGTTTGAGGCGGCAGTGAGCTATAATCACCACACCGTACTCCAACCTGGGTGACTGAGTGAGACCTGTGTCTCTAAACAAATAAAATGGGAACAATGAAATACTGGATCTGCCATTAGTTCTCCAAAATAATTGAGAACTTCTATTTGAACATAATGGGAAAATAAGTATTAGGAAGGGGAGTACGGCAGGGATTAAAAACAATAGAAATCAGAAATTCTTGTAATAAAGTTACAAAAAAAAAACCCCCAAAAAACTACTTAAACCATCACCTCTTTTTTTTTGAGACGGAGTTTCACTTTTGTTGCCCAGGCTGGAATGCAATGGTGTGATCTCAGCTCACCACAACCTTCGCCTCCTGGGTTCAAGTGATTCTCCTGCCTCAGCCTCCCGAGCAGCTGGGATTACAGGCATGTGCCACCACGCCTGGCTATTTTTGTATTTTTGGTAGAGACGGGGTTTCTCCATGTTGGTCAGGCTGGTCTCGAACTCTTGACCTCAGGTGATCCACCCGCCTTGGCCTCCCAAAGTGCTGGGATTACAGGTGTGAGCCACTGCGCCCAGCAAACCAACACCTCTTAAGATTAATAAATATGGCTGGGCACGGTGGCTCCTGTCTATAATCCCAGCACTTTGGGAGGCTGTGGCAGGTGGATCACTTGAGCTCAGGAGCTCGAGACCAGTCTGGGCAACATGGTGAAACCCATTCCCACAAAAAATACAAAAATTAGCCGGGCAAAAGGATGTGCTCCTGCAGTCCCAGCTACTTGGAATGCTGAAGCGGGAGAATCAGGAGAATCGCTTGAGCCCAGGAGGCAGAGGCTGCAGTGAGGTGAGATCGCAACATTGTACTCCAGCCTGGGGATGAAAGTGAAACCCTGCCTCAAAACAAAACAAAACAAACCACTGGATTAAAACAATTATTACTTCTTATTCGCTCAAACAATGAGTTAGAAATAAAAAATACAGGGAAAAAAGTGAAACCTTACTTTCTCTGAAGTTGATTATCTCAAGTATGAGTAGTCAGATACCCCTTTTATAGGTCTTTACAGGCTATTCTATCCCGAGAACAGAAAGGAAATAGGTCAATGTGAATACATTTATCCAACAAATCTGTACTGAGCCAAGGAGCCTGGGGACTATCCAAAGATGAACGTCTGTTGATTTCTGCTTTCAAAGATCTTCCAGGGCAGTGAGCAAGTGTGTATATGTGTGCTATTTGTTAGTGTATACTAATTAGAATGTGTGTAGACTCCTAATTAGGGAAAAGGAGTCAGGCTGGTGGGAGCAGGGGAAAGCAAAAAGAAAAAGCAGATAAGCTACAAGTCAGCCTTTCTTCATGGTCCAGGACACATAGCCCTCCCGTGCAAATAATTCACAATCTTCCTGTGCCCCACTTATCACCAGAACCTCAGCGGATAGAAAAATGCAAGTTAGCTCACTGCAGCCTTGGTGTTAGCAGTACTTCATGTAGCCCTCTTCAACAAAAGTACAATCCTATAAAATCCCCTGGAAGCTTTTGTCTCCTTGCAGTCAGCTCTCCGCTTGCTAATCTGCACGTTGCTTTCTTGCAACATATTTTCCTACTTTCTCTAACAAATCTGCCTTTCTTTACCTACAACTGTCTTGGTGAATTCTTTTTATTACTGGTGCCACCAGCTTCAGACAGTTGCTACCCACGACATGAAGTCCCAAAAGGGACACAAAAATGTTCCAAGTTAGGACTCAAGAGGCAGTTTCTTCACTCAGAAAGCCATGAGAAATGTTTGCCACAGAATTTTTAAAAAGCCATTTTAAAAAACTAAGATATAATTAACAAACCAACAAATACATAGGTCTTAGGCATTCTGTTCGATGCGTTTTGACTATAGTACACACCCATTTACAGTTACCCAAAATGAGAGACAGAACATTTCAGTCACCCTTGAACATTCCCTCATGTTTCCTTCAGGTCAATCTCTTTTCCCCAACCTCTAGCAACTACTCTGATTTCTATCACCACAGATTAGTTTTTATCTGTTCTAGGATTTCATATGAAAGGAATCATACAGTATGTACTCCTTTTGTCTCTAGTTTTTTGCTTAACATGTTTTTTGAAATCCACCATATTGTTGTATATGTATCAGTTCATTCTGTTTAATACATAGTTTGGTTATAAATTGGGTCTTGAAGAGACGACTTCTACAGAGAAAGTAAAGGGAAACAGGTGTCAGAGGCAAAGGAAATAGTTTGGGGCAGTGGACTGAAACTCTCTAGGAATGAGTAATCTGCTTAGGATATAGCATAAGGTTCATGAGATCAGTAGGATATGAGGTTGGATGGTTAAGATGGAGGCATATAGTGGAGAAGGCCACCCCATGTGGCAAACAACAGAAAACTTCTGAAGACTTTTGAATAGGGGAGTGATTTGTATTTTAGAAATTAATCTGTGAGCAGCAGGAGAGACTGGAGAGGAAGGGACAAGGAGGACCACTGAAGCAGCAGAATGAACAGACATTGTTAAAGTGCTGAAGGAAGCGTCATGGTTGCTTGCCCATACCCCATTTCTGAGCCTTACTGACATGAGCACAGTGGTACCATTTTCAGAAATTAATGAGAAGGAAGAGCAGATTTGAAAGTGAAGATAAGGAATTCAGTTCCGGACATGATGAATGTGAGGTACTGCTGAGTCATGCAGGTGGAGATAGTCTGCATTATGTAGGCATTTGCAAACGCTGGAATAAAGCCCGATTAGATGACTGCTTTTAATTAAAAAGGGATTTAAAAAATTCCATGTCACAACCCTAACATCAATTTTCCTCATTTTTAATTGTGCTTACCTTATCTGTACCCACCTTACAAATGTAATCATAAAATACATTCAAGTCCATTATTTTGTGATTTTTACTCACCACTGAGAATTTGTTTTCTTACAATCCCATTTTGATATCCATATATCAAATATGATAAAGGATCACAATTCTTAATAAACGATACCACCTTTTAACTGACTTATTTGATGTCTTAAGACTTTGAGAGTTTTCCCTTCTTGAAGTTTAAAAAACTGTTTTAAGACTATTTAATGACATGAAAAGATACACAGAAAAAAAAGGCATGTAGTTTGATTCCATATTCTTTTTTTTTTTTTGAGATGGAGTCTCACTGTCACCCAGGCAGGAGTGCGGTGGCGCGATCTCGGCTCACTGCAACCTCCGCCTCCCGGGTTCAAGCGATTCTCCTGCCTCAGCCTCCAGAGTAGCCGGGACTACAGGCATGTGCCACCATGCCTGGCTAATTTTTTGTATTTTTAGTAGAGATGGAGTTTCGCCGTGTTAGCCAGGCTGGTCTTGAACTCCTGGACGCAAGTGATCCGCCCGCCTCAGCCTCCCAAAGTGCTGGGATTACAGGTGTGAGCCACCATGCCTGGCATGATTCCATAAAATTTTTTTTTTTTTTTTTGAGATGGAGTCTTGCTCTGTCACCCAGGCTGGAGTGCAGTGGCGTGATCTTGGCTCACTGCAACCTCCTCCTCCCAGTTCCAGGAAACTCTCCCTGCCTCAGCCCCCCAAGTAGCTGGGATTACAGGTTCCTGCCACCACGCCCGGCTAATTTTTGTATTTTTTAGTAGAGACGGGGTTTCGCCATGTTGGCCAAGCTGGTCTTGTACTCCTGACCTCAGGTGATCCACCTGCCTCGGCCTCCCAAAGTGCTGGGATTACAGGCGTTAGCCACAGTGCCTGGCCCCATATTCTTTTTTTTTTTTTTTTTTGAGATGGAGTCTCCCTCTGTCACCCAGGCTGGAGTGCAGTGGCCCGATCTTGGCTTACTGCAACCTCCGCCTCCCCAGTTCAAGTGATTCTCCTGCCTCAGCCTCCTCAGTAACTAGGGGTTAGAGGCACATGCCACCATGGCTGGCTAATTTTTGTATGTTTAGTAGAGATGGGGTTTCACCATGTTATCAGGCTGCTCTCGAACTGACCTAGTGATCCCCCGCCTCAGTCTCCCAAAGTGCTGCGATTACAGGCGTGAGCCACTACACCCGGCCTGCCCCATATTCTTAAATTTAAAAAAATCTAAAATTTAGGCTGGGCAGGGTGGCTCACGTCTATAATCTCATCACTTTAGGAAGCCGAGGCGGACAGACTGCCTGAGACCAGGAGTTTGCGACCAGCCCGTGCAACATAGCAAAACCCTGTCCCTACAAAAACTATAAAAATTAGCTGGGCCTGGTGGTACACATCTGTAGTCCCAGCAAGTCGGGAGGCTGAAATGAGAGGATTACCTGAGTCCAGGGAGATGGAGCCGTGATGATACCACTGCACTCCAGTCTGGGTGACAGAGTATTCTCCATCATCTAGAATTTGCTGAATGCTTAATAATGTGTCAGGTTCTGCACTAAGTTTCTTATAGGCATTATCTCAGTCCCCAGTTAATAATCCCATGAGGTAGGTTCTATTATTAGTTACATTTTGTAGATAAGGAAACTGGGTCTGAGAAATCAAGAGGCTTTCTTAAACCATCAGGGAAGTAGCAGAACTGGGTTTGAATCTGGGTCAGTCTGTCTTTGAAATTTCACTATGTTACTCTGAAAATATATGCGAATGAAGGGATAGATACCAAATTTAATAATGATTATCTATGGGTGATAAAAATACAGATGATTTAAATGTTCTCTTTTCTGATCTATAATAATTATGTATTTTATACTAGAGCAGTTATTAAAAAAAAAAGTCTTCCCAAGAGTTTCTTCTCTATCAAACCAAATGTTTATAAAGGTAACCCAGGAAAGTGTTAGGGGTGCTAGTGTGAGAATTTGAAAACAGTGTTTTCTATTTTCAATAGTTTATTTTAACATTCATTTTCTAGTATTCTTTACAATAAACATATAACTATGCAATTCTTCTGCCAGAACCTCCCAAGTAGCTGGGATTATAGGCATCTGCCACCACGCCCAGCTAATTTTTCTATTTTTTTTTTAGTAGAGATGAGGTTTTGAGGCAGGTGGATCACTTGAGGTTGGGAGTTAGAGAACATATTTTAAAAAGCCCACTCTGTAGAATATGAAACTGGACTGCAAACCATACAAATTAGGAAACATATGTTTTAAGAAAAATGAATTAAAATCTAAGAAAGATGAGGGGAGGATCTGACGGGGAAGTTGGCAAATAATTTTAAGTATGTTGATACTTCATTATCCTACTTAAGTAGGATAATTTTAAGTATGTCAGCAGTTGGAAGAAAAGCAGTGAGCAAGGACAGCTGATAGAGCAAGTCTCCAATTAACTGGACTTACAGGCACAAATAAAGTGTTAGTATTGGAAAATAATACAAAGACCTTTATGAGTTGAGAAGGTAAAAAAATGCATGAAGACAGAAACTGCAAAGTGGAGAATACATCATGAGACAGAACTGACTACAGCAACTGGGAAAAACATAACCTTTTTTTTTTTGAGAAGGAGTCTTGTTCTGTCACCCAGGCTGGAGTGCAGTGGCCTCATTTCGGCTTACTGCAACCTCCACCTCCCGGATTCAAGCGATTCCCTTGCCTCAGCCTCCCAAATAGGTGGGATTACAGGCACGCACCACCACACCTCGCTAATTTTTCTACATTTGGTAGAGATGGGGTTTCGCCATGTTGGCCAGGCTGGTCTCAAACTCCTGACCTCGGGTGATCTGCCTGCCTCAGCCTCCCAAAGTGCTGGGATTACAGGCGTGAGCCACCACGCCCAGCCATAACCTCTTATATATAACATATAAAACCATTTATATCAAAATTCATTTATGGGGAAATTTAAAAAATAAATCTGAGATAAATTACCGAACATTGGGCACAAATGGTCAATTGTCTCACAGCTAATTTGCCTGGTAAATTTTCCTGGTCATCTGTAGCACCTCTTAATTGTTCAAGGACCAATTTCAGGAGGTTTAACAGAATCACTGTAGCTATCTTACAATGCCTTCTGTGATTTCCAGGTTTTTCTTGAGTGTATTCCTTGAGTGGCAAACACTTCTTCCCAGGAGAACTCTATAAGAGCCATAGAAATTTATGAAAGTTATTGGTGTAGGCTACATTTAAACAGATCAGGTCAATGAAGATCTCGCTTTACTAAAAGACTATTTACTTATGAAATGGTCTAAGACTTCCTTAAATAGCAAGATCTATATTAAAGGCATTAATTTATTTGCAGTTAAAAATGTATTTGTCCGAATCTAAATTCATATACCTTGCTCTGAGCCTTTGTACATTCTCTTCCTTTCCCATCAACTGGCTAACTTTCACTCATTTTTTTTTTCAGTCTATGTTAAGCTTCAAAGTTACCAGCTAAAGTCTCCTATTATTTTCTTCATGGCACTTACAACAACATAATTTTTAATGTGATTCTTTTAATGTACACGTCTCCTGACAGATTGCAAGCTTCATAAGGGAGGGCAGAGGCCATATATGTCGGGTTCTCTGTAATATAGCACCCAGTAATATAGTGTTTGGCCTATAAGAAGAGTCCAAGAAGTATCAATGACATCATTTAAGATCTTGCTGTTAAAAGAATACAATCTCTTGCTAAGACATAATAAGGAATCTTTGCATATACATCTTTGCCTAAACTCCGGGAACCACTATAGTTTTCAATTCACAGATCAATGTACCATTTCTCATACAGATTCTAATAACTGGATCTTGCTCTTAAAAGGCAACAGTGATAAGGAAGAATATGAACTGGTTGAATACAAATCTTTACATTACTGCACCTCTGCATTTCCATTACCTACATCCCCTTTTCCAATGTGCAAGAGATAAATGGAGGAGAGGAGATAGGGAGCAACAAGTGAAAGAGAAATCTTCTGAAAGAAGGATTACTAGAGAGCACTGTTATATCTGCCAGCATACAAAAATGGAGATTTGGAATGCTGCTTGCCATCAAGCAATCCAAAAGTGTTTGAACAATTCAGCATTAAAGGGAATAACTTTATAAGTATGTAAAGAGTGACCAAAATGTACTGTTTTAAGGATAATTTCACAGACAAGGAAGATATTAAGGAGAATAACTGATGTGGCAATTTTAGGACTGAGCACTTGTACATTTTACAGCAGTGCAGGGAAGAGGCAGGAGGAAAATGCGACAGAGATGCATGACAGAAGAAAATATGCTCATATCCATTAATAAATACTGCATGCTGACAAGAGTATATTACCAAAATTGAGAGAAGAGTAATCAGTTGGTAATCAAAGTGGTGAAAAGAGGAACTACTAGGTCAATGGCTGATACTGCCACACTGAAGGCAGGAAAGAGAAAGGAAGGGCACAAAGACATCTCTATCAGCAGTATGCATAAGGCAGAGATAAATGGTGGCCAAAATGCTAGGAAAGCTCAAGGTATGCCAGACAACATTCTGATGGTAGGGAATAAAATAGCACAGAGAAGCAGGTTATCAGAGGGCAGGACACATGGTACCAGCAGGGAGAAGTTACAAGCCTTGAGGGCAGTACACACAGGAAGCATTCACAACCCAGGACTGGTGCTGGTCGCTGGCTTCACTACTTTTAACTGATTCTTCTCCCACACTGCACCAAGTTTCCTAGTATTTTTCAAAAGCCCTCTCTGAATTTGCTTTGATTTTTTTTCACATTTGTACTGCAATGTGTATTTTATATCACCTAAGAGAGACTCAAACTTACCAATCTGTTGCACTGCTACAAGTCGGCTGAATGGCCTGGTCAACATGGTGAAACCCCGTCTCTACCAAAAATACAAAAATTAGCCAGGCATGGTGGCGTGCGCCTGTGATCCCAGCCGCTGGGGAGGCTGAGGCAGGAGAAGCCCTTGAACCCGGTAGATGGAGGTTGCAGTGAGCAGAGATCGCGCCATTGCACTCCAGCCTGGGCAACAAGAGCAAAACTCCGTCTCAAAAAAAAAAAAAAATGTCGGCTGAGTGAGGATAGCAGACCATCTCTTTTTTCTCCTTTCTGAATGAGGGACTTAAGCCTGCTAACAGGTACAAAGTTCTCTCCAGAGTTTAGTCCTTCTCTAAGTCCAAGGCCTGCTACTAGAGGTTACCTTCCCTGCGGTTGTGACCTCTCCATCTCAACTGCTCTGGTTTTGTCTTTTAAAAAATCTTAAGGTTGGCAACTTTGGCTTAATTACCTAAGTCCAGTTCAGTGGTTTTCAAACTGTGTTCCAAGGAGTGGCCTCTAGGATAGAAGTTAAGTGGGGTGGTGGGGCCTGGCCCTTTTAAATTTAGTTCCACCAGAGCATGCTGCTTTATATATTGGGTTCCAGATAAAAATTCATGGGGAGAAATTGTTCCACTCCTTTAAAATGTTTGAAAATCACAAGTCTGGATATTGGTTTGTATGGAGTCAATACTCACTGCAAAGCACATTTCATTCAAACCACTCAGTTTTTTTTTTGTTTTTGTTTTTAAGACTGGGTCTTCAAATGGACAAAGGGTGTATTTTTCATATCTTCTTTCCCCATCCCCATTTTACTGATGCTAAAATTGGAGTTTAGGAGTCATTTGGGGCCAGGCACTGTAGCATAATTCTGGCGCTTTGGGAGGTCTAGGCAGGAGAATCGCTTGAGCCCAGGAATTCGAGGTTACAGTGAGCTATTATCACGCCACTGCATTCCAGCCAGGACGACAGAACAAGACTCTGTCTCTTAAAAAAAAATAAGAAAAGTCACCTCCTTATTTAATTTGGCCTTTGAGAACACTGGGGGATTTACAAAATAATTACATATATCCAGGTACTCATGGTCTATTTTTCATCATTACACGACAATCAAATGACCAAAACTAGGAGTGTGTGGACTGGCACGTGTTAAGGTTTTTAAGAGAGGTAAGATTGACAGGTGGAAGCAAAAGGTGTGCAGACAACAAGGTGACAGCTTTTCTCTTACAGAATCCCAGACTCAACAGCACATTTCCTGACGGGAAGGGCTTCTCTGTCTGGGAGAGGCCTCCACTTCATTCTCATAAGCCAAATCTGATCCTGGCTTTGGGTAAACCTGCTCTCAATTTAAGAGCAGGTTTCCTTTAGACAAGTAGATTAGGGGTCGCCTCTTCCTCGCCTCGGGATAAGGGCAAACAAGACGCCAGGCTTGGGCGTTGGGAGGACGGCGACAGCGACGCTGGGAACAGGGGTAGAATCCACGCCGTCCAGCGGCCCCCAGGCCTGTCAGCTCCTCACCCGCCCACCCACCCGCCCGCCTGCATTCTTCGGTCTAAACTTACCAGGTGGAAGCTACAACTCTAGACAGGAAGTAACTAACTGGGTTGGATCCGGTCGAGTTCCGCTGCGCTTCTTAGAGCCGCTGCTGGGAAGAGGCCGAAACCCAGTGGCCGCAGCAGTAGCCACCGCCTCTGTTACTAGGGGGTCTCGCCTCCATCGCTGGCTGCGAGGAGTCTGAGGGCACGTGACCGGAAGTAGCAAGGCGGGCCCTGGGCACGTGACTCAAGAGCGCGGCCGCCATGACACCTTCCGCTAGTTCCCTCCCTCCCCCACGGGTTCCCGCCTGTTTCGTTTCCTCTCTCCGGTCTCGAGCGGCGAAGGGTCCTGGGATCCTGGCTGGCCCAACCATTTGGCCTAGAGCTCCTCCGGTTCCAGTCGGCGCCGTGTCTCCAGCCCGCAACGGCCCTGCGGTCGCAGGCCGTAGAGAGCGTAATCGCGACCGCGGCCTGAGGGGGAGGGACCACGCGGAAGGAGGGGCGTGACTCGTCACGTGATGAGGAAGTGCCGTTAGTAGCGTTGTTTCCAGTCTGCGGCTCTCCTGGATGACGTCAGCAAGGAAGGGGAGGAACGCGAGGGGAGACTGAAGTTCACGTTCCGCTCTTAGTGCGCGGTGAGTTCCCCGGCGCTAAGCCGGGAGACAAGATCCGATCTACTGAGAGCTGCGAGGTACTGCCCTGGATGTGGTGGAGCTGGGCTGGGACCTCCGGGCTGCTGGTCTGTGAGCCTGGCTTTGAAAATTGGTTACTGGGTCTCCTCTCAAGAAATCTCAAGATATTAAAGTTACTGCTGTTAAAAAGGTAGTAGTTCCACTAGGCAAGGAGCTTTTTGTGGGTAGGGATTGTGTTTTGTTCATCCCTGTGTCTCTAGCGGTGTGTTCAGGTCCTGGAACATAGTAGGCACTCAGAATGTTGAATGAATGAATGTATAAATGAGTCAGTCGCCATTTGTCTGAGGCAGAGAGTTGTTTTCTGATCATTTCTTCTTGGATAGAAAGATCCCATTGTGAAAATGAGGCAGTCTGCAACTTCCCCTTCTCATTTCTTCAATTTTTGCTATCTTTCTTACTTCTTTCTCCTCTTCCTCCACGCACCTACTGGGGCAAAAGAGAAACATGTTTGCATTTGATGTGTGAGCAACAAACACTGAACTATTTTACGATAATGGAAAGATGAGATTTGGATTCAGGAGACGCGTATTCTAATCTCAGCTCTACCATTTATGAACTCTGTGATCCTTGGGCAAGCCAGTCTCCCAAAAGTTGTTTCATTTACTTTGGTTAAGCATTTGTCGCCAACTTCTATGTTCTTAGTTTTTGGTAGAGTGCCTTCACAGAAGTAACATTTAAACTCAGCTTTGCAGAAAGGTAGGGTTTTGGTAAATGGGGGAAGATTCCATAAACATCATATATTAAACCATGGAGGCACAGCAAGTTTATGGAATGAAAAAGAAAAAAAGAGTCGAGTCCAATGTAGTTGGAGAATAGAGAGGTTAAGATGGGAAATAAGGCTGGAAAAAGAAGCAGGGAGGAGATAACAGATTTTCAAGAAATAGAGCTGTTGAAGGCTTGTACAATATTATGTATATATTTTTTAAATTTTATTGTGGAAAATTTCAAACGCAGACAAAAGTAGGATAATAAATTGAACCCTCATGTACACTTAACGCAACTTGAACAATTATCAGCATTCTGCTGTTCCTCTTTATACTGTTTGTACATTTCTAGGTACTTTTTATATCCATTGTTGCATTTGATTAATAGCAGCTTTCAATTTGAGCTCAGTTCTACTGTATGTAGCTACTGGCTAAGAAGATTTTATTTATGTAAACAATTTCTTTGGGTTTTAGTTGACCACTTGCTCTGTTGAATCAATGTGTAACATGGCCACTTAAACACAACTAATACTGTTTTTAGGTTGTAATATAGAAACTTAGTGTCTAGATCCAGGAAGTTAGTGTTTCTACTCTATTCTGGGCTCATCTAACTACTTAAGGAGTATTATGCTCAGTTCTAGGCACCTCATTTTTAGGCAAACTACAGTGCCTCTGTAGAAGGTTGACTGGAACAGAGGGTTGGAAAATGTCATGTCAGGAGTGATGAAGAAACTGGGAATGTTAAATTTTTAGAAGACCTGATAATGCTTTTCAAATACAGAAGGATTGTTTTGGAAAGAGACAGCTTGTTCCCTTCAGCTGTAGAAGCTACATACAATTAGGAATAATGGTAGAGCTCTAAGTGATCAGGCTTCAGCATAGTATTAAAAAGAACCTTATAATAGTGAGCCCTTTGGAGGACTGGAATTGGCAGCTTCATGAGAGTGAGTGCTTTCTTTCCATGGCTGAAAATGTTCAGGGATCTAGGGCAAAACTAATTTCTGAATTAGGTGGACATGTTCACTGAATTACCTATGAATCTTTTTCCATCTTGAGAATTCTAGGAAGTAGGGCTCATGTGCGATCTTGAAAGCTGGGTATGTTTGGATAAGAAAATCTGGAAGGGAAGCAGTCATTTCAGGGAGAGTAAACATAAAGTATAAAGTTGAAGTTGGTTTAACACTGTCATTCAGCAGCTTCTCTGAGAATTGGCATTGCTTATGCTGTTTTTATTTTCCATTCTCATTTCTGTTAAATTCTTTTTTTCTTTTCAGTAGAACTTACTAGGTGTGTCCCCCTGCACACCCCCGCATTATATTATAACTTCCAGGACATTCTCTTTTTACCGAGATTAAGGCAAAATGACCTACTCAGAGTTTCTTTGTTTCAAGATCACAAGTAGAAGAGACACTATGATATTATCATTCCTTTCCATCTCTTGGATCCTGTACCATGGTTTTATCTTTTTCTTGAATCTTCAGTCCCTTTCGTTCTAGACTCTACTTTTAGCTACTACCTACAAATCTGTTGAAGAGTCTCCCCAATAATAACGTCAAGAGAGGTTTTCTCCTTTTCCACCAGACTTCTTGAGTAATTGAAATGTTTTATCCTCATTTTCATATCACCCACCCGTTTTCTCAAGTCTTTGTTTTCTAGCATCTAACCACCCACAGCACTTTACAGAAATTGTGTGACCTCCCAACACACAATTCTTCAATTCCTTTCTGTTGCCTGCCAAGTTAAGTTCAGGTTCTTTGGTTTGAAATTCAAAGTGTTTTGTAACTTGGGCCCAAATTAAGATTCCAGCTTTATCTTTCATTATTCCGTTGCTTGTATCCTGTTTCAACCAAAGACTAAATTTGTATTCTTCTAGTATATTCTGCATTTTTTTCTTCTCTATATATTTGCTTATTGCTACCCTACCTGCTACCCTTTCCCTTTTCCTTGAGATAAAAGCCTAGTCAGCATCAGTACTACTTTCCTTAGAGCGTTTTCTTCAGTTCCCTTTAATTCAATGTGATCCCTCTGTCCTGTAAAGTTCTAACAAAGCAGTTTGCTTATGTTTCCCTTATAAGATGTGTGTGTGTGTGTGTGTGTGTGTGTGTGTGTGTGTGTGGTATTTGTCTTTTCCTCCGTATTATAAACTGACTGACTTCTGGAATTATTTTACTTGTCTTATTTTTACCACTGTGCCTGGTACTTTACTAGGTACTCAATGAAATGAATGAGTGAAAACAATGAGGGAAGATTTTCTTAGGTCAATAATTCTCAAATATTTTGAGTACAGGCATGTGAAAGTTTCTTTCTGGGTTTTTTCTTTTTTTTTTTCCTGAACATTCTCCTTGCAGAGGTCAAGGTGTATTAGGAACAGTGTTACTAGCAGAAAATAAGATTGTGTTATGTGTGTGCAATAAAAAATATAGTCTTCGTTTTGCCACTAGAAAGTATGCTCTATGAGGGTTAGAACTTTATCATCTCCAGGACCTAGAATAATGTCTGGCACGTAGGTGGGTGCTCAGTACAAATTTGTTGAATAAATGAGTGATGGAATATATATGTTTCTGGAAAAAAAGTCAAAAACGTAAAGCATGAACAAACAACAAGAATGTATAAACAGTTCATGACTTTTTCTGTTGTATTCATTGGCTTTCTAAATTTGGCAGGTAACAAGTGATTGAGAAAAGTTATAATTAATGAGTAGAATTTTCTTTTCTTTTTTTCTGGAGATTGGTGCAAGTTGACAAAAAAGTGCATTTGAGAGTAGGTGAACACATAAAAACTTTCGTGTTACTTTACAAAGTCCTCACTGGTTATTTGGCATTTGTTACCTTGTATTCTTATCCGTATTCTGTCCTATCTAGTCTCTTTTGTTGAAGCGCTTATTTTTCTTTGTGCTCTAATTCCCTGTACCTTCTCACTTAGTAGATCTGTTCATTCATTCACCATACTTACTAAGCCCCTGCTCGGTTGAAGAGAGAAGTCTAGTGGCCTATTCCTATAAACCACTGTTAAATTGTTAGCTGATAACTGTAGGGTTTGCTGATAACAGTTAATAAGTTGAGGCCTTTACAGAAGATTGCGTTTTAATGAGAGACTCCTAAAGACAGAAGATTTAGTATTCATAGAAATGCAGCAGCAAGGTTGCTGTTTTAACTCAGGGTGATATGCCAATTTTCCTAAATCCTACTCTACCTATTCTGTTTACTCACACTGTTAGATAATACAGGGGGATAGGCTTATGGAGGGCCCTGAGAATCCGTACCTGCTACTCTGGGAGTTTTAGAGTCAGGGAATGACACAATGTAAACACACTGTGGCATACGATGTTACCTTATGTGTTTTCTTTCTAAGTCCCTGTATAGTGGGGACTTTCTCATGTTTCTCTATGTTCCCCACATATTTGTTAAATGCATGTTAAATGAATGGTGGGCTTCTTAAATTATATTTTTGTGGATTTTATTCAGGTGAGGAATACTGTATCTATCATTCAACAAGTTTCAGCTTTCTGGCTAAATGGCTTTTGTGCCAGTGATACCAGAGTCCTACAGCCATGTTCTTGCAGAGTTTGAATCTCTGGATCCATTACTCTCAGCCCTGCGGCTGGACTCCAGTCGTCTAAAGGTGAATTTCTTGATCCTTGTATCAGTTTCATTTTCACGTGCTCTCTGTTACTGTGCCCCTACCCTCCAGTTCCTTAACGTTTTGTGGAATCTTGGGTGTTCTTACCTGTCCTAGTCATACTTTTGTGGGGGAAAAAAAAGAAGAAAATAAACTTTTTATCTGAGGAGTGTGAGCCCCTTTAAATTATCAGGCCCAGGCTGGGCGTGGTGGCTCACACCTGTAATTCCAGCACTTTGGGAGGCTGAGGTGGGTGGATCACTTGAGGCAAGGAGTTCAAGACCAGCCTGGCCAACATGGTGAAACTTTGTCTCTACTAAAAATACAAAAATTAGCCGGGCAAGGTGGCACGCGCCTGTAATCCCAGGTACTCGGGAGGCTGAGGCACGAGAATCACTTGAACCCGGGAGGTGGAGGTTGCAGTGAGTCGAGGTCATGCCACTGCACTGTAGCCTGGGCAACAGAGTAAGACTCTCTCAAAAAAAAAAAAAAAAAATTTATCAGGCCCGGAGAAGCATTGGAATGAAACAGTAGTCTCTTATCACTCTTTTTTTTTTTTTGAGACGGAGTCTCGCTCTGTTGCCCAGGCTGGAGTACAGTGGTGTGATCTCAGCTCACTGCATGCTCCGCCTCCCGGGTTCACACCGTTTTCCTGCCTCAGCCTCCCAAGTAGCTGGGACCACATGTGCCCGCCACCACGTCTGGCTAATTTTTTGTATTTTTAGTAGAGACGGGGTTTCACCATGTTAGCCAGGATGGTCTCGATCTCCTGACCTCGTGATCTGCCCGCCTCGGCCTCCCAAAGTGCTGGGATTACAGGTTTTATCACTTTTGTTTGAGCTAATTAATTACCTCTTGAAGCTACTTGCTATGTGGGCACTAGACTAACTGACACCAAGTAGTGATAAAATGCAGTACACTTCATAGTTCAAAAGTGTATAGCCAATCACTAATCAATGTTATTGCTGTAAGCCAATGAGAATTCCTGACAAACAGCCTCTTCTGAAAACTTGAGTTTCTTGTTTTCCAGAGCATTCCCCAAGGCAACTTGGAAGTTTGTCCTAGGCTGCATCCTCAACCTTGGCCCAAATAAAGTCAATGTTAATTTGGCCTCAACTTCTTCCTTTTAGGTTGACACTTTACATAGAGGTATAATTTTCATAGCTCTTTCTTGATTTATTTTTTGAGCTATCTTTTGAATTCTAATTTACCATCCCTGGAAACCATGATACTGACTTGCTTCATTTTTCCCCGTTAGTGTTCTTGCTGTCTTCTCTCAGAAAGTAATATATTTGATTGAAAATAAAATGGTATAAATGAGTATATCTCACAAAGACCAAGAGAAAACTGTCTCTTCATCTTCTGAAGGTTTGCTAAAAATCAGCTACTAAAAATAAGATTAATAGGAGAAAAGGCATATAAAATCTTATTTTCTTTTCTTTCTTTTTTTTTTCTTCTTTTGAAACAGGTTGTCTCTGTTGCTCAGGCCTAAGTGCAATGGGGAGATCCTAGCTCACTGTAACCTCAAACTCCTGGGTTCAAGTAATTCTCTTGCCTCATCCTCCTGAGCAGCTGGGACTAAACATACTCGATACCATGCCAGGCTAATTTTTAAAGTTTTTGTAGAGATGGGGTCTTGCTATGTTGCCCAGGCTGGAGTACAGTGGTGAGACCATAGCTCATGATAACATCGAACTCCTGGCCTCAAGCAATCATGTGCCTTGGCCTTTGGCTTCCCTAAAGCACTGGGATAACAGGAGGGAGCCACCATGCCTGGCTGTGTGTACCCTCTTTCATAGGGAAGTGGGGATATGGAGAATGTAGATGATTGTTTTGAGTGGCAATAAATCATTATGGAGAATGAATAGACCTAGCAAGTGGGAGGCAGACATGGGAAGGTGAGGGATGGAGCTGCATAGGAACAATCTGACTTATGCAGGTAAAATCCCCCAGATAAACTCTTGGAGCTACCTTCAGAAGAATAAATGAAAAGTCTATCTGGGCATGATGATGACTCCCGGTCTGTTGATTTTTCCTGGTTATTTGATGAGATCCTTAGGGAAAGGGTTTAGGACAATTGCATTTCTTTTGGAAGGAAGCTTTCTTTTTCTTTCTTTCTTTCTTTCTATTTTTTTTTTTTTAAGATAGAGTTTCACTCCCTTGCCTAGGCTGGAGTGCAGTGGCACGATCTTGGCTTACTGCAACCTCCACTTCCTGGGTTCAAGTGAGTCTTGTGCCTCAGCCTCCAGAGTAGCTGGGATTACAGGCACCTGCCACCACGCCCGGCTAATTTTTGTGTTTTTCGTAGAGACAGAGTTTCACCATGTTGGCCAGGCTCGTCCCAAACTCCTAGCCTCAGACAATCCTCTTGCCTCCTCCCAAAGTGCTGGGATTACAGGCATGAGCCATTGAGCCTGGCCCACTTTGGAAAGAAGCTTTCTTGGTCAGATAAGGAAATTCCTCTGGAGAGAGTCCCACTCTGTGCTTGGTGGAGAGGTGGAAACGAGACAAGGTTAAAGGGACTTTGGTTTTGAGGCAGCTTCTAAGAACTGTCAGCATGTCAAAGCTCCCTATTTTGGGGTATTGGTTGCTGAGCCCCAATAACCCCTTTACATTTTGAATAACATGTAGTTATACTAAGGTCATTCCAAAACAGGGAGTCTGGTGTAACCCTCGTTTTAGGGAGAAAAGCAAAAGTTAGTTAGCTCTGGGCAGAATGTCGACCTAAGAGGAAGAAGCTAAGAGGAAGAAGCTGCCCTGGCTTGGTGGCTCATGCCTGTAATCCCAGCAATTTAGGAGGCAGAAGTGGGAGGATTGGTTGAGCTCAGGAGTTTGAGACCGCTTGGGAAATATGGCAAAACCCCATCTTTACAAAAAATACAAAAATCAGCTGGACGTGGTGGTGGGTATCTGTGGTCCCAGCTACTCAGAAGGCTGAGTTGGGAGCATTGCTTGAGCCAGGGAGGTTGAGGCTACAGTGAGCTGTGATAGCTCCACTGCATTCCAGCCTGGGTGACACAGCAAGACCCTATCTCAAAAGGAATAAAAAAACCCAGAAAACAAAACAGACAAAGGCGAAAATAATATAAGCAGACAGTTTATTAGGGCCAAGCTTGAGGATTACAACCTGGGAACATAGATAAAAGTTGCTTTAAATATACACTTTGATTAGCAGCAGTTACAAGTGGATTATTTATTTATTTATTTATTTATTTATTTATTTTTGAGATGTAGTCTTGCTCTGTTGCCCAGGATGGAGTACAGTGGCACCATCTCAGCTCTCTGCAAACTCTGCCTCCCGGGTTCAAGTGATTCTCATGCCTCAGCCACCAGAGAGGCTAGGATTACAGGTGTGTACCATCATGCCTGGCTAATTTTTGAATTTTTAGTGGAGACGGGGTTTTGCCATGTTGGCCAGGCTTGTCTTGAACACCTGGCCTCAAGTAATCCGCCCGCCTCGGCCTCCCAAAGTGCTGGGTGGATTATTTTTTGAGACGGCTGGTCGGGGGAGGGGGGATGCGGTCTTACTATGTTGCCCAAGCTGGAGTGCAGTGGCTATTCACAGGCATCATAGCTGAGTCATAGCACACTGCAGTGCACTGTAGCCTTGAACTGGCGTCAGGCAGTCTTCTTGCCTCAGCCTCTCAAGTAGCTGGGACTACAGGCATGTACCACACCACATGGCCTGCCTAATTTTTATATATTTTTTAGAGATAGGGTTTCATTATGTTGCTGTAGCTGGTCTCAAACTCCTGGGCTCAGTGAGTCCTTCTGCCTTGGCCTCCCAAAGTGCTGGAATTACAGGCATGAGCCACCGCACCCGGCCTTTTTTTTTTTTTTTGAGACGGAGTCTAGCTCTGTCACCAGGCTGGAGTTCAGTGGCGCAATCTTGGCTCACTGCAACCTCCACTTCCTGGGTTCAAGTGATTCTACTGCCTCAGCCTCCCAAGTAGCTGGGATTACAGGCACGCACTGCCACACCCAGCTAATTTTTGTATTTTTAGTAGAGACGGGGTTTCACTTTATTGGCCAGGATGGTCTCGATCTCCTAACCTCGTGATCCGCCCACCTTGGCCTCCCAAAGTGTTGGGATTACAGGCGTGAGCCACTGCGCCTGGCCTGGATTTCTTAAAAATAAAAATGTTTAAATTAGGGCTGGAGTCTTATTCTGTTGCCCAGGCTGGTCTCGACATCCTGACCTCCCAAAATGTTGGGATTATAGGCATGAGCCACCTTGTCCAGCCCAAGTGGATTTTTAAAGGAAAAGAAGAGGCAGATTCTGAGTTGTTTAGCAAAAACTCATATTAAAATAACAAAAACTATTGATTGGCTATACATTGTTCTTTGTATCACAGATTTCAGTGACATGAAGGTAACAGGTGAGACAGCTAGTCAGTGACAAAATTACTTTAAACAATTGCCCCCAGGCGTGGGTGCAGAGAGTGGGTGCATGACTGATATCTCATATTCATTTCTGTCTGGGCCTGCATACTTCACATAGCTCAGACTGCCCTGAGCTATTTTTTTTTTTCCCTCAATAAGTATGTGTTTTGATTGTCCTTGGAATTCAAAGAACTATGTACTTCCTTCAATCTCTGAGTTATTTTGATTAAACTCAGGAATGATGTGGTAAAAAACAAAGTTTCATAACCAGTACCAAAGTAATTTCATTTTTATACTTTTGCTACTGCCCTAAAGGAGATACTAGCATCTGAGGAAAGGGAAAATAGGAAGTGATAGACAGTAATATGAGTAACAATTTTGAGGCTTGATATCAGTTAGACATTTTTTCAGCTGCAAATTACAGTATGGTGTAACATATTAATAGGAGCTTACGTGGTAAAGATGTTTATAATCTCATAGGAGGTTAGTGTTCTGGGTTTAGTGTAGTGGCCCAATGATATAACTGGCTCCCATTTTTCCTGTTCTACCATTGCACATATGTTAGCTTTTAGCTGCTTTTGCAATATGTGTCCTGTCTCCAGTCTTACTGTTCTCATTAACATCTCAAGAAAGTGGGGGCAAAGGGCAAAGGCTTTCTACAGGCTCTGCCTTTCATCTTTCATCAAGGCCTCAGCAGCCTTGGTCTTATTAGCTAGAATTGAGTTACATGACAACCCTTGGCAACTAGGGAACTGGGAAGGTGAATATTTAGGTTTTCCAACTTCTATGGTGAAAAGCAACAAAATTGAAGAAGATTGGGAATGTCTCTTAGTCAATCAACTAATAACTTTTACCACGGGGTATTGGGCACGGCATGACCACTGCATTCTCTGATGGAGTCTCACCTACCCTAAGACTTGTGGATGTTTTGTGGTGTTTGTACAGATTAGAAATGATTTAAATGAACGAATATTTAACCTGGTTGCTTTATCTTCTGGTAACTTCCTTGGTCTTCCATTGTTGTAGTCAGCATTGGAATGACCTAGCCAAATTACACAAAATATGAAGTCTTAACAGCCAGCGTTTGCCAAGGGAAAATTACTCATACAATGGAGCCTATTCAGCCTTTGTGAGATTCATTTAGAAGTTTAAAAACAAAATGTTCTTTCTTCAGTATTTTTTACTATTCTAGAACTAGAGAATAAGTGTCATATTGTGTCCATATGGGCAGAGGGTAAAGTGAGGGAAGGAGCCTGATGCATAAATCCTCAGTATTTATTTTCAGTGGATAGTCTATTTGGTTAAGTAGCTGTGATTATCTCACACTTCTCTTCACATGTTTTTAGTGCACGAGCATAGCTGTGTCTCGGAAATGGTTGGCTTTGGGCAGTTCAGGAGGAGGACTCCATCTCATTCAGAAAGAAGGCTGGAAGCACAGGCTTTTTCTTTCACACAGGGTAAGATTAAGGGCAGCTCTGTCATACACCATTTGGAGTCTCTTTCATAAATGCAAATTTCTCCAATATAAATAATCATTTGGAATAAAAGAATGTAGAACTTGGCTTGGTGCGGTGTCTCACGCCTGTAATCCCAGCATTTTGGGAGGCCAAGGCGGATGGATTACCTGAGGTCAGGAGTTGGAGACCAGCCTGGCCAACATGGTGAAACCCCGTCTCCACTAAAAACACAAAAATTAGCTGGGCGTGGTGGTGAGTGCCTGTAATCCCAGCTACTTGGGAGGCGGAGGCAGGAGAATCGCTTGAACCCAGGAAGTGGAGGTTGCAGTGAGCCGAGATCGCACCATTGCTCCCCAGCCTGGGCAACAGAGCGAGACTCAGTCTCAAAAAAAAAAAAAAAAATAATAATAATAATAATGTAAAACTTGAGATTTAAAAAATGTATTTTCTTTTGTGCTCTAGGAAGGTGCAATTTCTCAAGTCGCCTGTTGTT
This sequence comes from Homo sapiens, assembly GCF_000001405.40. Classification (NCBI taxonomy): domain Eukaryota; kingdom Metazoa; phylum Chordata; class Mammalia; order Primates; family Hominidae; genus Homo; species Homo sapiens. The sequence goes on along the minus strand of NW_021160006.1, from coordinate 60,246 downwards.
TACATGATGATGATTATGTTGCTGTAGCTACCAGGTAAGAATCTGTTCCAAAACTATCTGTCCTTTTTCAAATGCATTTTAAATTGACACATGTGTTTGTTAGGGTGACCAACCATCCTGGTTTGCCTAGGATTGTCCCGGTTTTAACAGTGAAACTCCTGTGTCTCAGGAAATCTCTCAGTACCCAGCAAACCAGAATGGACAGCTGGTCATCCTAGTATTTGTAGAAAATGCTAATTTAAGGTTACAACATTTCAAAGGCCTTAAAAGATAAAGGGAACAGAGATAATTTAGATCATTTAACTTCTCCTATTAAACTGGTTTGGTGACTAAAACAAGGAAATTAATACCTTGACTTTTTATAATACTTCCTCTTTTCTGAAGAACAAGAGTTGCATATGTATTTGATATAGTTGATACTGTGATGCAACAAAATTGTACCTTGTTCACTGTTGCCACGTTTGCCTCTGTGACTCAATTCTTGCAGTCAAGGTCTTGTGGTTGTTTGGGAATTAAATCAAGAGCGTCGTGGGAAACCGGAACAAATGTATGTGTCTTCAGAACACAAAGGCCGAAGAGTCACAGCTCTCTGCTGGGATACAGCTATTCTTAGAGTTTTTGTAGGTGATCATGCTGGGAAGGTTTCTGCTATCAAACTCAATACTTCTAAACAAGCAAAGGTGAGAAGCAGTCCCATTCTTTGTGTATGTAGTGAGATACAAGGTGTTGTCTTATAAAACTTCCAATTAAAGGATGTGATTTTATCTACTGTATTTCTTGGGAGACTAATCCGGAGTCCAAACCTGGAGATTTTGAGGAGACCTGTTTTTATATAGTACACACGGTGGCCTGTTAGCTCAATACCGTTACAGAATGGCTTTTGTGAACTAACTTCAGTACTTTGCACATTATCTATTGCAGTCCTTCCTGATTCACCTGCATGGCTCATTTAAAGCATTCTTTAGTATAAGGCTATTAAGAAAGAAAAGATATCTATTTATTATTGGTGTGAATAAAGTGACAAACATAGAAATGACACCAATTGCCCAGGCTTCTGGTCTTCTCTGCTTCTTGTGTAGAAGAAACTCATAGGTCTAGGAATATTTTTTATCAGGATGGATATAACTTATTTTGAATGGAATCTTGAAGACACCTTCTGGCTTTGCTCTGCTCTGCAGGTCCTCAGGCTTCTTGCTGCAGTTATGGCTAAGTAGAAGGGTTGAGACTCAGGTTACCCTAACAGAATGCTCCAGTCTGTCATTAAGACAGAATAGACCAGCTTCTCATTGTCCTGCTCCTCCACGACCATTACATCAGAAGTAGAGGGATTTGTCTTGCATTGGCTTATTTCTATTTAGGATCCTGGCAGAAAAGAAAGGCTCTAACTACTATTGGCTAAATTTATTTTATTTTATTTTGAGACAGGTTCTTGCTCTGTCACTCAGGCAGAAGTACAGTGGTGAGATCATGGCTCACTGCAGTCTTGATTGCCCAGGCTGAAGCAATCCTCTCACCTCAAACCTCCTGAGTAGCTGGGACTACTGGCATGCATCACCACGCCTGGCTAATTTTTAAAAACTTTTGTAGAGACAGGGTTTCGCCATGTTGCCCAGGCTGGTCTCGGACTCCTGGGCTCAAGTGATCCAATCACCTTGCCCTCGCAAAGTGCTGGGATTACAGACATGAGCCACTGCGCCTGGCTATTGGCTAAATTATTTTATTTTAATGAACACATCAGAATATTTTTCTGGTTTGCCGTCATGACCTATCAACGTTATCAATTGATTCTTAATATATTTTGGACCTAAAATATAGAAACCCTAGTAAACTTATTTTGTCTTTTTCTAAAAGGGAGAAGTGCTATCTACAGGTGAAAAATTCTTTCACATACTCCAAAACTTTATTTATCTAGAGACAGGTTCTTCTTCTGTTGCCCAGGCTGGCATATAGTAGCATGATCTTAGCTCACTGCAGCCTCAAGCTCCTAGGCTCAAGCAGTTCTTCTGCCTCAGCCTCCCAAGTAGCTGGGATTATGGATGTGTGCTACCATGCCTGACTAACATGTTCTAAACCTTGCTTCATCTTTTTCGTTCTAACCTCTAAGATTAGATAATCACAAACAGATCCTTGAGAAATCTCTTCTGCAGTTACGTACCAGATTATTTAATACAACTTTTAAGTGACTAAAACTTTGATATCCTTACAAGCAAATTAAGTTTTGGCTTATTTGAAAATTTTATTTTGCTATTCAAGTTATTTTCATTTACAAGGTAAAGAGGAAGAGATTGCATGTGTATGTTATGATTAAATAAACTTTATTTCTTTCTCACATTCCTTTTAGGCAGCTGCTGCTTTTGTGATGTTTCCTGTTCAGACAATCACAACTGTTGACTCCTGTGTTGTACAGTTAGATTATTTGGATGGAAGGCTACTTATATCTTCACTTACTCGATCCTTCTTGTGTGACACTGAGAGGTATATTGACCAACCATTAGTCATCAGAAATGCAGAATTTTAGAACTGGGAGGAACTTAGAAGTTATCTACCCCAAGCCCCATCAATCAGTTATACAGATTTTTTTTCTTTTTCTTTTTTTTCTTTTTTTGAGATGGGGTCTCACTCTGTCACTCAGGCTGGAGTGCAGTGGTGTGATCATGGCTCACTGCAGCCTTGACCTCCCTGGCTCAAGCGATCCTCCTACCTCAGCCTCTCAAGTAGCTAGGTCTATAGGCACATGCCACCATGCCCTGCTAATTTTTTGTATTTTGTTTAGAGACTGGGTTTTGTCATGTTACCCAGGCTGGTCTTGAACTCCTGGGCTCAAGCAATCTTCCTGCCTCAGCCTCCCAAAGGGCTTGGATTATAGGCATGAACCACTGCCCCTGGCTATACAGATGTTAAGGAATCAGTTGTATGCAAGCTGATGTTAGAGAGCAGAGAGGAGGTAGAGGAGTCTAAGACAGTCCAGTGGGTGACTAAGACAAGTATTCCGTGAGCCCGTTGCTGGTGAGACATATTCTAAGTGCCATGAGAGAAGGCTAAAGGCCTGTTTTTAGATGGGAAAGCAGGAAGTCTTCTTTGAGTTTTGTTGTTTTCAAGATTTGTTTTATTTTAATAGAATTTTACTAAAGGGTAAAATTGGATGAAAAATAATTAAGAGCTTTATGAAGATAAGTATTTCATCAAAATCTCAAGGGTAGATAGAGCCAGAGGTACAATGAATGGCAAAGGAGTGCATTAGAGGTAGCTGTGAAATACCAGAGCAGAATAGCAGACAGCTGGAAATGAATATTATGCATCACTATGCCAAAGTTCTCAGCCATTCTCACTGCAAGGAAATTTTCACTGGCCATTTCTTTTTTTCACTGGGCCTGGCAGCTATCATATTTCTCAGGACCATCTCCTTTTAAAAATTTATCATGGAGAGTTTTGAGCCTACACAAAAGAAGGGAGAATTGTGTAATCAACACCTGTGTACCTATTTCATAACTAAAGTTGGATGACAGTATCATAGAACCTCCTGTAAAAATAACATGTTTAGACGTGCTTTCTGTTAGCTAGAATTCAGCTTTTGGGGACATGTGTAATATAATAAAATATATACTTATGTTAAAAAATCTTTTTGTTTCAACCTGTTTTCCCTCCCAACAAACAGTTTTTTGGTTTTTTTTGTTTCTTTGTTTTTTTTTTTAAAGCTGAGACTCCTAGTGACTAGCCAAAGTGATAGATATGACTTTGCTTCATGTAAATTTAGTGTTAAGGATTAACTAAGGTAGCATATGTGAAAATACTCAACTTTGTGCCTGTGACGTATTGTTTGAAAAATAATAGAAAGTAAGATTAATGAGTATACAAATGATAATGAATTGATTACATTTTTCACTCAGCAAACATTTATTATGTTCCTCCAGCTCCTTAGCACTGTATTAGGTACCATAGAAAATATAAAATGAAGAAATATATTTTATTTCCCAAATAAGGAGTATAAGTAATAAAACCACTACTTCCTGTACAGCTCTGTATACATTTCAAAGCACTCTTACACCTATGTTCTTAAAGTAAAGCAAATGTTATATTTTATTCATAAAGCAATTAAGTACAGAAGTAGTTATTGAATTATCTGAGGTTAACTAGTAAATTCATGCTAGAGAGCATATTAGATCACTCTTCAATAAAAGAGATTGAGTTTATGGAACTCTATAATGTATTGAGTGCTTTTTGTAGGCCTGACACTGTGCTACACACTGGGAATTCAACCAAAGAGGAATAAGAATTGTCCTTTGCCTTGAAAAGTCATGATCTGCTGTTTAAATAGACATAATTGCCATATATCATGTCATAAGTGCTATGAAAGCAAAGCATAGGAAGCGTGTAATTCCATATATGGGAATCAAGGAAAGTTTCTGAGGAGGAATGATAAGTTTCTGAGGAGGAATGATGGAATCATGGAGAGTAAGTAACAGGAGTTTTTAGGAAGAGACATCTCCCTCATCATTATCACCTTCCGTGTTCCCAGGCAGTGTACTAAGCTCTTTTATATATCTAACTCATGTAATCCTAAGGGAACAGAATGCTCCAAGGTGCAGAGTTTCAGAAGGACCTGGGTTTTTGAGGAAAAAGTAAGTTTATTGGGTGTTTGTGGTGAGGAAGTGACTTGGAGACAGGGTTGGAGAACTAGATTAGTAGCTTCCATGGAGTGTCCAAAGAACATTTTACAAAGTGACTTTAGAAGCAATTAGTAGGATTCAAGGATGTACGAAATAGTTTGGTAGCACTCACCTTTTAGATTTGGAAGGGGCCTTTACATTAATTCTGAGCCTCTTATTCTGTGGATAATAAACTGAGTACTAATATGAAATGATTTGCTTCCTGTCATAGAAATAGCTAATGGCAATCAGAGCCAGAATCCTATTTTGATCTTTCCATTCTATTGTTTTTTTCAGTATATTGCTAATATGAATGAAGGAGAAGGCATTGTGAGTGGAGTTATTATGCCCATGCTGATTTGTAGTGCCGTTGTTTTTGACTTTTTTTTGTAAGTAAATCTGCTTTCTCTTCCTTTCTGGATGTTAGAGAAAAGTTTTGGAAAATTGGAAACAAGGAAAGAGATGGAGAATATGGAGCTTGTTTCTTTCCTGGAAGATGTTCTGGGGGCCAGCAACCTCTGATATATTGTGCTCGCCCAGGCTCTAGGATGTGGGAAGTGAACTTTGATGGAGAAGTTATAAGTACACATCAGTTCAAGAAACTCCTCTCGTTGCCACCTCTCCCTGTGATTACTCTCAGGTAACGATTTGTATGGCTGGTTGGGATTGTTTGAAGAGCTTCTATATAGAGGTTCGGTGAAAATCTCTGATATTCTATCTGTGTTAAAGATTTTATTATACCTGGCTGGGCGTGTTGGCACACGCCTGTAATCCCAGCACTTTGGGAGGCTGTGGCAGGCGGATCTTGAGGTCAGGAGATCGAGACCATCCTGACTAACGCGGTGAAACCCCGTCTCTACCAAAAATACAAACAAAATTTAGCTGGGTGTGGTGGCGCATGCCTGTAGTCCCAGCTACTCGGGAGGCTGAGGCAGGAGAATGGTGTGAAGGGAGGCGGAGCTTGCAGTGAGCCAAGATTGTGCCACTGCACTCCAGCGTGGGTGACAGAGCGAGACTCCGTCTCAAAAAAAAAAAAAAAAAAGATTTTATTCTATCTTTTCAGAGTGAAGTTGGATTTTTATTTTTATTAAAAGATTCAGAAAAACCAAAGAAGTCTTTGATAATTACCTCTCCTATGATTAGTGTCAGGCGAATAAGGGCAGATGCAGTTAGGCTCTTGAATTTGTTTTGGAGGCAAAAATTTCCCTATATTGGGAAAAGTGTAATTTTATGTTATACTTTTAACAGATAAACTCATTAACAGATGTGTTTACTTTCTAGATCAGAACCTCAGTATGATCATACAGCTGGATCCTCCCAGTCTTTGTCTTTCCCCAAACTCTTACATCTTAGGTAAGTTTCTACTTTCCTTAGTTCTGGGGGGGAAAAAGAATACTTAGATTTTTATCTCTGTTTCTTGTTCAGAAGTAGTTTTTTAAGGTTATTTTTGCACTAAATTACTTATAGAAAGTTAGGAAATAATTATGTTACATGAAGTGTTCTGTATCTAAAAGGAATGGAAAGATCCTAGAAATACACTTCTCTTTCCAAGCCAATTGGAGAGTTTATAATTGCCAAGAAACTTCTAACAATTGGAGCTAAGATAGCTCTACTAACCGCCTCATAACCTCTCCTACCTAATGGGATGCTATAATGAAAGCAAGTCCCAGATCAAAATCTGCCACACAGATGTATGTGTTTTTAGCAAGCAGGCACAAAAATAGTTGTAGAACTTGTTCTTGTAAGCTTGGTGAAATTTCAGCTCTCTATCCTATAGGTACTCTGACAAATGCTTGCATGAAAGATCTGCTGGAGGCAGTTTCAGCCATATTCTAATGTCAGAGTTCAGCCAGCCTTCTAGTTGGATTAGGTGCAAAGTCCAGCACAAAGTGCTGCCCTAAAAGTTGTTAAACTGCTGGACCTGCCAATTCTTACACCTTGTTCTGCAAGAGCAAGAGTACCAGTGTATGATTTCCAGCCAATATCTTGAACTCTATTTCATCAATAAAAAATTACTTCTGATATCCCTTAGGCTAGTTAACAAGATCTCTGATGCAAATTCAGCAAATATTGTATGAAGTTGTCATATGGTACACTGGAGTGTGAACACCTGATTCAGTTCTTTGAAAGGCTAACTAACCACTCTTTGTGATTTTTAAAAATAATTGAAGTGTTAACTAATTGCCTCTAAGGGTAAGGATAAAAACCAGTTCATGTATTTGTCATACTTCCTACACTGAAGTATTTAAAAGTGAATTATAAGGCCGGGTGTGGCTCATGCCTGTAATCCCAGCAATTTGGGAGACCGAGGCGGACAGATCTTCTGAGGTCGGGAGTTCAAGACTAGCCTATCAACATGGAGAAACCCCGTCTCTACTAAAAATACAAAAATTAGCCAGGCATAGTGGCATGCTCCTGTAATCCCAGCTAGTAGGGAGGCTGAGGCAGGAGAATCGCTTGAACCTGGAAGGTAGAGGTTGCAGTGAGCCGAGATCGTGCCATTGCACTCCAGCCTGGGCCACAGAGCAAGACTCTGTCTCAAAAAAAAAAAAAAAAAAGTGAATTATAGACATTATAACACTTTAGTAACTCCATAATTCTTCATGAAAGTTACTAGAGAAAGACATTTATTTATTTACCCATAATTAGATAAAGCATATTAAAAACTCTTCCTCCTTTAGCATTCTTCCTTTGTGGCACTTGTCACAGTTTATAATTACATATTAATATAATATTTATACATGTCTTACCCTAAACAGTAAGCTCCATGAGGGCTTTATTTCTGTTTTGTTGACTATTATTTTTTCAATGCTTGGCCTAATGCCTGGCACATGATAGATACTTAATAAATATTTGTTGACTATGATGTGATGTGCGGGGTATTGGGAAGTCCCTTACCCAAGTTTTTTTTTTTTTTTTTAGAGACGGAGTCTTGCTCTGTCACCCACATTGGAGTGCAGTGGTGCGATCTTAGCTCACTGCAGCCTCTGCCTCCCAGGTTCTAGCAATTCTCCTGCCTCAGCCTTCCAAGTAGCTGGGACTCACAGGCGCACGCCACCACGCCTGGCTAATTTTTTGTATTTTAGTAGGGATGGGGTTTCACCATGTTGCCCAGGCTGGTCTCGAACTCCTGAGCTCAGGCAATCCACCTGCATCGGCTTCCCAAAGTACCCAAGAATATGTTTTCTAGTAGTCGGGCCACAATACACTTAGCTCTCCTGGTAGAGTTATTCTTTTGGCTGTAGCTATTTAAAGCTGCTGTTATAGTCCCTACCATGGTAGACAAAAAGCCTTTGATGATCTGGCTCTGCCTATTCCTCAGCTAAAGCAACAATTAACGCCACTTTGAAACTTCTGCTGATTCCTCAAAGAGGCTTACGTTAGACAACCTATTTCTGTGCATGTACTGTTGTCAAACCATATTCATTCCTTTATCATTGCCACTGTCTTACTGTATTATGAGTATGCATCCCAGCATCAGATTGTCAACTCCTTTTCATGGGCAGTGCTAGACACATAGAAAACCCTCAAATGATAGTGAATTCAACAAAGAGTTTTTTCGAAAACATGAAGAGGAGGGCTTCTTTTCATTCCTGTTTGTTTATGTTTTTCATTCGTACACTGTGCCCTATGGGACTTTTACTGTTGCAACCCATAAATCCCAGAGGGGGCATCCTTATGTACTTTGTTTCCTTTCAGGCACATTCCTTTCTGGAACTTCTAAAACAATGCTGTTAGGCTTATGTCCCCATTTATTATCAGTGAAGGGATAAGGGGACAAGGAATGTATAAATTACAAGTATCAGCTTTTATCTAAGTTCCCGTCCTCAGCCCCCCATCTAATCTAGGTTGCTATTCCTAAGGAATTTTCCAAGCTGAATGTCAGGTTCAGTATCAAAATTATGATCCTGTATCTCTTTCTCAGGGATCCTCTGACACCCCCCCCCCCCCCGCTTTTTTTCTCCTTTGACTCTTGAAGGCAGCCTTCTCAATTTTACTTTGGATTCAGATTCTGACCATTTCTTGCATTTTATGACAAAGATTACTTTCCTGTAGGGATAGTGATCTGGTCTTTCATATTGACAAAATGTTTAACACTTACATGAGGGCCCAACTCCTGTTAAAAATCAATTAGTTTCATAGCCACATGGAACCATTTTTAGTACTCTTGGAAACATAAAGGAAAAAGAAATATAGTCCCTGTTCTTCAGAGTATAATTTATTAGAGAGATATGATTTATTTGTCCAAAAAGTTTAACAACAATAAGAAGTAAGAGTTGTGACAGTGCAGTAGATGATTAAGTGCCATATGAGCAGAGTATAAGAAATAGGTTGAGTGCAAGAAATAGGGTGAGTGTTGTGGGCTGTAAGGGAGGATTTCAGAGGGAAGTAGAACTTCTGATCCTTGAGAGGTGGCTAGATTAAGAACATTGTAAGTTGGAGAATGTCCTGAACAGCATTAGGAAGTGGAGATTACCAGTGGTATATAAAAAATAGTAGCAGCCTTGAGAGAATAAATGAAATATATGAGATAAATTTATATGAGTAAGTATAGAAAAAGATGAGGAGAAAAAAATGAGTCCTCCAGACCAGAGGACTGGAGAGAAAGAGAACCAAGAAAATGCAGTGTCCAGGAGCCCCAGGAGGTGAGGTTCAAGAAGCAGAGAACAGTTAGCAGGGTTGGCTTCTGCTTGGGGTTAAGAAAATGGGAAGTGATGAAGGGTTATTGGGTTTGGCAGTTTGGGAATCTGTGACTTTTTGAGAATTCAGTTAAGTGGAATAGTTAGGATTCCAGATAATAGTGAGTAGGTTAGTGAAGATAAGTGGAGGAGGAAGTAGATTCTGTGTTATATAGGAAAAAAGTCCAGGTTTTGGAGCCAGACTATCCTGCATATCCAGTATAAATTCTGACTCGTATACATTTCATGCTGAATGGCCTTTGGTATATTATTTTATTTCTCTGAGCCTTAGCTTTTTCTCTTTTTAATAAGAATAGTATATCTACCTTGACTGGCTTCTACAAAGTTAGGTAATATAGACAGAGCCTTTAATAAAGCTCCTGGCACATCGTTGAGCAGGAGTTGTCAGCTTTTTGTTGCGCACACACAACTAACAACATCAAAATATTACTGTTCTTAAAAGTGTCTCACTAGAGTAATGATTGGCAGTAAGATGTTAGTCTTTGTTTTAAATGTGCCCGTATCATGTCCAGTATGGAAAGTTCAGCTGCTTTAACGAACATCAGGTAAAGGTCCCTAAGCTTTTCTTTTTCCAGATACCAGCCTTTTCTTTCTTTCTTTTTTTTTTTTTTTTTTTTTTTGAGACAGAGTCACCCAGGCTGTCACCCAGGCTGGAGTGCAGTGGCACAATCTTGGCTCACTGCAACCTCCGCCTCCCTGTAAGTGATTCTCCTGCCTCAGCCTCCCGAGTAGCTGGGATTACAAGCGCATGTCACCATGCCCGGCTAATTTTTCTATTTTTAATAGAGACAGGGTTTCACCATGTTGGTCTGGCTAGTCTCAAACTCCTGACCTCAAGTGATCCACCCACCTTGGCCTCCCAAAGTGCTGGGACTACAGGCGTGAGCCACTGCACCCAGCTGACCCTTTTCTTTTTCTGGAAAATATCTAGTATATGTGTCTGAATTTTCCCAATTTGGCATCATTTTATGCTATTTATTAGTGGGCTGTTGTTACAGACAGAAAGGAGTTGTTAGGACTCGATTAGCTGGATCACTCTTGTGTTTTCTTTGTACAGTTTGATTTTACTTTAATAGCTAATGCAAGGATCTGAATTCGGGGAATTATAAACTTTTGTATCCTAGCACACTTGAATTCTCTTCACTTCTTCTCTTGCAGTGAGCATTGTGTGCTGACTTGGACAGAAAGAGGAATTTATATTTTCATTCCTCAGAATGTTCAAGTTCTTCTTTGGAGTGAAGTCAAAGGTAATTATATTTTTCTTTGTAATTTTTAATCTCATGCTTATGAAAATTTGATTATTGTAGGAGCATTCTCTTGTAATTTAAGAAGTTGAAAAATAGGATGGGATGACTTTTTTTTTTTTTTTTTTTTTTTTGAGACTAAGTCTTGCTCTGTCACCCAGGCTGGAGTGCACTGGTGCGATCTTGGCTCACGGAAACCTCCACCTCCTGGGTTCAAGTGATTCTCCTGCCTCAGCCTCCTGAGTAGCTGGGATTACAGGCACGCACCACCACACCTGGCTAATTTTTGTATTTTTAGTAGAGATGGAGTTTCGCCATGTTGGCCAGGCTGGTCTCGAATTCCTGACCTCAGGTGATCTGCCGGCCTCAGCCTCCCAAAGTTCTGGGATTACAAACATGTATGATTACAGGTGTGAGCCACCGTGCCCAGTTACGTTTCTTTTAAAGATTGACCATAGATATTTCCCATTGTAAGTTACTTCCCAAACATGCATTAGTGAATTTGCATTCAGCTATTTATTTTTTCATGAGTCATTTTATTTATTTTTTAATTGACACATAATAATTGTACATATTTATGGGGTACATAAATATGTACCCCATAATATGTTTCGATACATGCAGTGTATAGTGTACCCTGATCAGATCAGGGTGGTTAGCATATCTACCATGTTAAACATTTATTAGCTCTTCATGTTGGGAACATTCATTGTCCTTCTAGCTCTTTGAAAACAGACATTATTATTAACTATAGTCATCCTACAATGCTATGGAACAGTAGAATTTATTCCTCCTATCTAGCTATAATTTTGTATCCTTTAACAAGTCTTTTCCCTGTCTTCTCCTTCCTCTTACCCTTCCCAGAATCTAGTCACCTCTGTTCTGCTTTTTTACTTCTGTGAGATCACATTTTTCTAGCTTCTGCATATAAATGAGAACATGTGGTCTTTAACTTTCTGTTCCTAGCTTATTTCACTTAACATAGTGTCTTCCAGTTTTCATGAGTAATTTTAAGTGCAGTTTTCATTAGTAACTGCTGAAAAGGAACAAACAGGTTATTTTTCCCTCTATTGCCCTGAGTCTTTATCCCTGCCAGAAGTCTTACTTTGACTCCCATTTTGTATCTTTATAGTTTGGGGTTCAAATTGTTCTTGTGGGAGCAACAGCCATCATATGTGACTGAGACAGAAAATCAATCTCTATATTCTTTGGGTTAAAACCAGAAGTGGGGGAAATCTAGCTTTTTTACCATTGCTGCTCAGTAGAGAGTGTTATGTTGACTTTTTGGTTCTTTTTCTATGTTTGTAAAAACCAAAAAAGGAGAGAGAGAAAGAAATCATTACTTACTGGTCTCATCAACAGTGACTTTCTTGTGGCTTAAATTTCTTAAGTATGTCCCTTGAAAAGTAGTCTTTTAAGTCCTTTCAGGATACTCTGCCAAGACAGATATTTTCTTGAAGGCAGATATTTTCTCATGAACTGTATATTGATTTACATACTATGTTAAAATCCATTCATTGAGGACCAGGTTGTAACACTCGAACCTTATAGTCTGGCCTCTAATGTAGATTATCCTCTTTTAATGTCCCAATTCCTTTTCACAGAAAACAGCATTTTTAAACATAAGACTTTAGGTCAGAGAGATATAGTTCTTTCTTCACATCTTTTATTCTTGATCTTTTTAGAATAGTTTCTAAAATATGATTTCTTCATTGAACTGCAAGTAGAAAAATAGAGATGAAATTCAGTCAAGCCAAACCCTACGTAAGAAATGAATTTATTAGAATAATTGCATCCCTTTTAAAATTGTAAGGGGTATTTGGTTAACATTTTGTATGTTCACACCTGTGGTTTTCGTAGATATTCAGGATGTGGCTGTCTGTAGGAATGAATTGTTCTGTTTGCACCTAAATGGGAAAGTCTCACATCTCTCCCTGATATCTGTGGAGCGCTGTGTGGAACGCCTGCTAAGAAGAGGCCTATGGAACTTGGCTGCTCGTACATGCTGTCTTTTCCAAAATTCTGTCATTGCCAGCAGAGTGAGTCAGAGCTTACCTAGACATCTTTACCATGGATTGGTGAAACTCTCCTACCTTGCAAGATTGTGTTACAAAGTTGCTTGATTTTATTAACCCTGTCTGTGTGACCTACAGATACAGCAATACATGCCCAGAGAAAGCATGATAGATATATCTAGGGGTGGATAGAGGGTAAGAAAGAGGGTACAATTTTCATTTAAAACATCAAATTTACATACAAATTTGTTTCAGAACTTGTTTTTAAGGGGGATAATTGCGTATATGGTAAATTTTAATTAAATTATTATTATTATTATTTTGAGACAGTCTCGCTCTGTCACCCAGGCTGGAGTGCAGTGGCGCAATCTCGGCCCACTGCAACCTCTGCCTCCTGGGTTCAAGCAATTCGCGTGTCTCAGCCTCCTGAGTAGCTGCGACTACAGGCGCTCGCCACCACACCTAGCTGATTTTTTTTGTATTTTTAGTAGAGACGGGGTTTCACCGTGTTGGCCAGGCTGATCTCGAACTCCTGACCTCAAGTGATCCGCCCACTTTGGCCTCCCAAAGTGTGGGATTACAGGTATCAGCCACCACACATGGCCTTAAATTCTTAATTCCTAAGAAAATTCTCATTAAATCTTTCTCCAGCTTGCTAAGCCTTTTTAAAGCACCATTGAAGTTTTATGTTCTATATTAGACTTATTTCTTTTTTCTTTTTTTTTTTTTTGAGATGAAGTCTCACTCTTGTCCCCCAGGCTGGAGTGGAGTGCAATGGCGTGATCTCAGCTCACTGCAACCTCTGCCTCCCAGGTTCAAATGATTCTCCTGCCTCAGCCTCCCGAGTAGCTGGGATTACAGATGCCTGCCCCCATGCCCAGCTAATTTTTGTATTTTTAGTAGAGACGGGGTTTCACCATGTTGGCCAGGCTTGTCTTGAACTCCTGACCTCGGGGGATCTGCCCGCCTCGGCCTCCCAGAGTGCTGGGATTACAGGCGTGAGCCACCGTGCCCGGCCTAGACCTCTTTCAATATATTGGCCATTTGAATATAGATTTACCTACAAATAGCTATTCCATTGCGCTGTTGTTTTATTAGGCAAGAAAAACTTTGACTGCAGATAAATTGGAGCATTTGAAATCTCAGCTGGACCATGGCACCTACAATGATCTAATTTCTCAACTGGAAGAATTGATCTTAAAATTTGAACCTTTGGATTCAGCTTGTAGCAGTAGAAGAAGCTCCATTTCATCACATGTAAGTATTCTCACCTTTAAAGGATTTTGTAGGGTAAGATTTTTCCATCTTCGGTTGTTCTTATTTACCTCTAGGATCCCCAAATTTGTTGTCCTTTCCATTTATGTTTTTTGGTGGGAAGGGGTGAACTTTTGTTCAGCTAGTGGCTCAGCTCTGTGAAGCCTCCATTTAGGTGTGTCTTGGAGCCACATTTTGTTTTGTCATTGTTTATTATTTTTTGTTCCCTGATATACTCATATAGCTCCCAGCATAAGTTACGTTGCTCTAATATGTGATTTTAGGTGCTTCATGCTAATTTGAGCCTGAATGCAGGTCTGGATTATCTCATTTAATCCCCATTCTCACTACCAAGCTTTATGAAGACAAGCTAGAGAAATATGGCAGCTGATGCCACTAGCACACGGAGTGACCCAGCTGCCAGGCACCTAAGCCTTGCTCATCAGTTTGTTCTAATAAGCCATAATGGTTGTTATTAACTTTCTATTTGAGTGTTGGTATTTCTCTGCAGAAGTTATATTAACGTTATAAAGGAAATTTTTACCTTTTTTTTTTTTTGAATTCTTTTAATTTTTAGGAAAGTTTCAGCATCTTGGACTCTGGTATTTATCGTATCATTAGTAGTAGAAGAGGCAGTCAGTCAGATGAAGACTCTTGCTCCCTTCACAGCCAAACCCTCTCAGAAGATGAGAGATTTAAAGAATTCACCTCACAGCAGGAAGAGGACCTGCCAGATCAGTGTTGTGGCTCACACGGAAATGAAGGTGATGAATGTGTCTGTTGTTGGTTCCTGATGTGAAGCCATTATTTTCCACGAGCTCCTGTTACCAGGATTATCTTGTGCACGGAATTTCTCTGAAGTGTTAATAATTTTTAACATGTTGATAGAACTTTCCATCCAGATCTACAGATCTGCCCCCTACTAGAAGAGTTGGTTTATGTTTAGTATTTTTTCCCCTCACGTTTGGACTAACATTAGGGCCTGTTTTTGATCATGCATCAAAATGCTGGAAAGGTTATGAAAGAAAGGTCATTAACCAAAAGAGTGGGAAGATTTTATTCTGACTAACCAAATTATTTTTCATCAGGATTGAAAAATTACTGCAGTTTTTGGGGGTCATTGCCTTCCTTTTTCGATGTGCGAGTATTCCTGTGGCTGAACTAGTGAGAAGAGAATAATAGAGATCCTAAACTCCCTTTTTGACTTATGGGGACTCAGGGTTAGTAGGCAAATGAAGGTACCTGCCTCGGTGTTTTATGTGGACCATCCCATGCATTTTGTAAACCTGTGTTCCACTCATTTGTTTCTGGGTCAGTTGTGATTTTGGTATTGAATCCTTCATTTCTTTCGGTTTATTCATTTCAGAATTTTTTTAAAGATTAAAACAACTCCCACGTGATTAGATTTTGTTTCTTTTTTTCCTGATTCCATTCATTAGACAATGTTTCTCATGCTCCAGTGATGTTTGAGACAGATAAGAATGAAACTTTTCTCCCGTTCGGCATTCCATTACCATTTCGTTCTCCATCTCCTCTTGTGTCTCTTCAGGCTGTCAAAGAAAGGTAAACCAATTAGTCTTGTCATTTAATTCCATTACTGATCTTATTTCAGTTCTCACATTAGGTAATTTGTGCTGAGAATGGAAAATGAGAAAAAGGAAGTCTCTTGTTTTCCATATAACTTGTCATATGGAGCTATTAACTTCTCATTTACCTTGGGGAGAGTCTAGCTTCCCTCTGTTTTAGCAGCTGGTATTTGAGTTGTTGCAGATGTAGGTGCCCCCACCCTCAAGAGATCAAAAATTAAAAATCTCTGATGGTAATAGTTTCCACGTATCATTAGTCTTTAGCTGATCCTTTCTAATGGTCAGTTTGGGCTCAGACTTGGAGTCTTTTCAGAATTCTTTTCTAGCTACTCCATGGGACCAGGGTTGACATTTGAGTTTAAGAGAGAAGACTTTGTGCAGCTACTTAACTGCTCATCTGAGTCTTACTGGATACAAATTTTGCTTAAGAAGGGTATATTGTGACTAGTTAACAGCTGAGTTTACATGAAGCAATTCTTTGTTCTGTGACCAGAATGGGGCTGATGATCACATGGCTTTGCCTAAGTTGACAGAAATATTACAGATACAGCTGGAGTTAAAGACCTTTTCTTTAGCGCTGAAACACTGATTTCTTAGGGCAGTTTAGTAAATAATGTGAATCATTATATTGTAAGTTTATATACGTGAAATACTATTATTTGAACAGAGAAGTTGCTATAAACAGTCTTTACTAAGTCCAAGTTGCCTCCCTAGGACTTATTAGGGAGAAAACTGAAGAATGAAAACCTGAGTTTTCTCAGTAATAAGTTTTTATTCATGTTAGTTTTTTGTTATTTGACTTCTAGTGTTTCTAGCTTTGTGCGTAAAACTACTGAGAAGATTGGCACCCTTCACACGAGCCCTGATCTGAAAGTGAGACCAGAGCTCAGGGGTGATGAGCAATCATGTGAAGAGGATGTGAGTTCAGATACCTGCCCAAAGGAGGAAGACACTGAGTAAGCCCTTACACATAAATCTCTATACATTCTAGGGAATCCAGCTGTCAGTTTTAAGAAAGCCATAGACCAACCTTGTGCAGCCTGTGGCCCGTGGGCCTCATGTGTTCCAGGACGGCTTTGAACGTGGCCCAACACAAATTTGTAAAGTTTCTGAAAACATGAGTTTTTTTGTGATTTTTTTTTTTAATAGCTCATCAGCTATTGTTAATGTTAGTGTATTTTATGTGTGGCCCAAGACAATTCTTCCCATGTGGCCCGGGGAAGCCAAAAATTGGACACCTGTGCCATAGACTATGTCCTTTTCAAGAAGGCACATGTATGTCTGCATTCATTGAAGATTGTTTGTGTAGCTTATAAAAATTGTGAAATTCCACAAAGTGTTGAAAAATTACATCACCCCGAAGCAGATCTATTGAGCAGAGTTTTAATTTAGTACTTCTTCCATCTTTCCCCTGCATAACTCCCCTCCTTCCCCCATAATCTCTTCAAACTTCTGGGATCTCACAGGAGTATTATATTAAGAGTAGGATGACCAAGGATCTAGACCTCATCCTGGCTCTGCGTATGACTAGTATGTGACTTTGGGAATGTCACTGATGCTCTCTGGCCTGTAAGATCCAAAATGTGCTATTATTTGATGAGTCAAGGACTCATCAAGCAATAGCAAAAGGACCACCTTTTATATTATCTAATTGTCTCATGTAACATGAGTATAATACTTTATTCTCTAATAAAGAGAATATTAGATTGAGATAATGAAAAAGAAAACAAGGGATTCTTTAGGCAACGTTGATCAAGCAGTTGGCATTGATGTCCTATCAGGTACCTTCCCATAATATGCTGGTGGCCTGGTCCTTGTGTAGTAGAGTTGTAGCAGAGCCCTTAATTGGGCATAGTGTGGAGTATCTTGTCTCTCTGGCTTCTGCCTTATAGTTCAGGGAATCTGGGTATTAAAGGCAAACAAATTCAGCACTTACCCAGGAATTAAGAGAGAAACCCATGGGACCAGTGCATCTGGACAGTCAGATGAAATAAAAGATTTGTAATCCTCAGAATAACTTAGTGAATCCATATGTTTATAGAAAAAATACAGATTTTTTGACATGGCATTTAATGCAGCCTTCTATCTGACCTTAGCTACCTTTCTAGCCACATCCTTCTAAGTGCTATAAATTTCACTCCTATCGGAGAACTAAGTGTGTACACTGACACTTCACTACCTTTCTTCATGCTATGTCTTCTATCCAGAGTATTCTCCCGCCATTTTTTGTGAGACAAATAATACCTCCTTAGGAATATGTCCCTTTCCCTACTCAGAAAAATTATTTCTTCTTCTCTGCTTTCATATCACAATGCTGTTTTAAAGAGCTGCTCTTTGGTGTTCAACTTACTCTTTTTTTAAATTATACTTAGTTGTTTGCATGCCTTTCTTTCTAATGAGAGCTTACTGGAGCTTATCACCTTGAGGCCAAGGACCACCTTTTCTATTCATCTATTTGTCTTATGTAACATGAGTATAATACTTGCCGTTAGTAAGCATGAGAAATATTTGTCCAAGGGTCAGGTGCGGTGGCTCACGCACTTTAGGAGGCCGAGGCAGGTGGATCACGAGGTCAGGAGATCGGGACCATTCTGACTAACATGATGAAACCCCATCTCTACTAAAAATACAAAAACAAAATTAGCCAGGCATGATGCTGGGTGCCTGTAGTCCCAGCTATTCGGGAGGCTGAGGCGGGAGAATGGTGTGAACCTGGGAGGTGGAGCTTGCAGTGAGCGGAGATCATGCCACTGCACTCCAGCCTAGGCAACAGAGCGTGACTCTGTCTCAAAAAAAAAAGAAAAAAGAAATATTTGTCTAAGAAAGCTCTGAGGCTGAGGCAGGGAGAATTGCTTGAACCCGGGAGGCGGAGGTTGCAATGAACCGAGATCACGTCACTGCACTGCAGCCTGGGTGACAGAGTGAGACCCTGTCTCAAAAAAAGCTCTGATCCCCTCTAACTCTTGTGAATGTTATTGTTATTTTGCACACTTTTTTAGGGAGGAAAAAGAGGTAACTAGTCCACCTCCAGAAGAAGACAGGTTCCAGGAGCTTAAAGTAGCAACAGCAGAAGCAATGTGAGTATAATGAGAAACTTTTATAGTGACGTCTCAAGGCAGTTTAGTAAACGAAGTGAATCATTATATTGTAAGTTTTTTATGGGCCTTGTATGAAATATATAGTTGATTAGAGAAGTTGCTATAAATGGTCTTTCCTTTTATTAAGTCCAAGTTGCCTTCCTAGGACTAATAGGAAAAACCCAGGCACTGAAGTTTTCATTCTTGGCAGCAATAAGATTTTCTTCATGTTAATTTTTTGGTATTTGACTTCCAGTATTCCTAGCTTTGTGTGTAAAACTACTGAGAAGATTGGCAGCCTTCACACAAGCCCAGAATGGGAATGACTTTCTGAGTCCATCAGTAGTGGTCCTGAGACAGTTTGGGGCAGAGATAGCCTCATTTGGAATTGAAATTGAAGAAGTAGGCTGGGCGTGGTGGCTCATGACTGTAATCCCAGCATTTTGAAAGGCTGAGGTGGGCGGATCGCTTGAGCTTAGAAGTTTGAGACCATCCAGGGCAACATGATGAAACCCCAAATACCAAAAGTAGCTGTGTGTAGTGGGTGTAGTGGCATGTACCTGTATTCCCAGCTACTCAGGAGGCTGAGGTGGGAGGATCACTTGAGCCTGCAGTGAGCTATGTTTGTGCCATTGCACTCCAGCCTGGGTGACAAAACAAGACCCTATCTCAAAAAAAAAAAAAAAAAAGTAAAACACTACAAAGTTTATGTTCTCTGTTTTGTCATCTTGTTGAGATAGTTTTTATTTAAAGAGTTGAAAAGTAACGTTTATTCCAGATGAGTATGTTACATTGGTTAGGTTAATTTATTAGCATGAATTAATTTGTTTTAAGAAAAACACATGACACATGAATTTCATACTTGTCTGTCTTGTATAGGACCAAGCTACAGGACCCTCTGGTTTTATTTGAATCCGAGTCTCTGAGAATGGTTTTACAGGAGTGGCTTTCACATTTAGAAAAAACATTTGCCATGAAGGACTTTTCAGGTGTTTCAGATACTGACAACTCATCCATGAAATTGAACCAGGATGTGCTATTAGTTAATGAATCAAAAAAGGGAATATTAGATGAAGATAATGAAAAAGAAAAAAGGGACTCTTTAGGCAATGAAGAATCTGTTGATAAAACAGCATGTGAATGTGTAAGGAGTCCAAGGGAGTCTTTGGATGACCTGTTTCAAATATGTTCTCCATGCGCCATTGCAAGTGGTCTTCGGAACGACCTGGCTGAATTGACAACATTATGTTTGGAGTTGAATGTATTGAATTCTAAGATCAAAAGCACCAGTGGACATGTGGACCACACTTTGCAACAGTACTCTCCTGAAATTCTGGCTTGCCAGTTCCTGAAGAAGTACTTTTTTCTCCTGAACTTGAAAAGAGCGAAGGAGAGTATCAAGCTTAGTTACAGTAATAGCCCTTCTGTTTGGGATACTTTTATTGAAGGATTGAAAGGTAATACTCAGATTGCCTTATCAAAGATAGAAATTCGTATTAAAAAACATTAGCAGTTTTGAATTTTGGGGTTTAAAAAAAAGATTTAAGTAGAAAATCACATCTGTTCTGGTCAACCCTTTATTCTGTTTTCCATTCATTTTAACTTTTAATAGTTCTTTCAGACATTGGTTAAATTCACAACTGGATTATAAGAAATTAGTTTTTAAATTTTTATTTATTTTATTTTTTTTGAGACAGAGTTTCATTCTGTTTGAGTGCAGTGGCGCCATCTTGGCTCACTGCAACCTCCGCCTCCTGGGTTCAAGTGATTGTCTTGCCTCAGCCTCCCAAGTAGCTGGGACTGCAGGCGTGCACCACCACGCCCAGCTAATTTTTGTATTTTAGTAGAGACAGGGTTTTGCCATGTCGGCCAAGCTGGTCTCAAACGCCTGACCTCAAGTGATCTACCTGCCTTGGCCTCCCAAAGTGTTGGGATCACAGGCATCAACCACTGTGCCTGGCCCTATTTTTTATTTTTAGAGACAGGGTCTCACTCTGTGCCCAGGCTGGAATGCAGTGGTGTGATCATGGCTCACTGTAGCCTTGATCCCTTGGGTTCAAGCGATCCTCCTGCCTCAGTTTTCTGAGTCGTGGGATTACAGGCATGTGCCACTGTACCCTCTGATTTCTTCATTTTTTTATAGAGATGGGGTCTTACTGTGTTGCCCAGGTTGGTCTTGAAATCCTGACCTCAAAGCAGTCTTCCCACCTTGGCCTCCCAAAATGCTGGGATTATAGGTGTGAGCCACCATGCCTGGCCCTAGAAATTAGTTTTATTTCTCTCATAATGACATTCAGAAAATGGTAGAGCAGTGCTGGGGAAGTTGAGGTTAAAGTAAAATGTTTATAAATGCAGATGTATTAAAAGAAGAAAATCTCTCATGTAACTTACTAATACAGAAATACTATATGGGGTACTTATTGTGTGGCAGATATTATGGTAAACACTTTTCAGCATTGTCTCATTTCATCCTTACAATAATGTTTGGAGTAGATGGTGTTATTCCATTTTATAGATAAGCAGTCTGAGGCAGAGAGAGATCTTAGGTAGCTAAACTGCTGTAATAAATATCTGATAATGAAGTAACTCATACATAAATAGAAGTGTATTTCTTGCTCATGTAACAGTCCAGGACAGGTATTCCAGGTCAGTGGGTAGCTGTCTCCCAGGTGGTAATTCAGCATTCTAGCATTCCAAGTTCCTTCCATTATTTTCAGCTCCATCTTCCCTTAAGGGATGTGGTCATGTTTGGGTTGCTATGTCTGGGGAAAGCATGTAGAAAGTGCTGTCTTATAGGCCTGGCCTGGTAGTGGCTTACCTCTCTTCTGTGTACATTTCCATTGATGAGAATTCTGTCATATAGCCACAACTAACTGCAAAGGAAACTGGGAAATGTAACCTGTCCAGGAGGAAAAGAATGAATATAGGTGAAGAGCTCGCTTACATGTCTGCCTCAGAGACTTTGGTGCATAGCCCGCAGTATCTACCTTGGCGGAAGGTCGCATATGTCATCCTGACATATAATAGAAACCAGCTATCATACCCTAAAAACTATATGCATTGCCCTTTCTGCAGCCATAGTCCCATGTTTTTGAAGAAGTGAATTTTCTTAATTCCAAATCCTACTTGAATAACAGATGCCATATTTCTAATACTTTAGACTTTAAGCAACTTTTCATTCATTACCAAAAGTGAATAGAGATACATTTTTATGTCATCTTACTTAAAGATATTTTAGCTTTCTAGAAACATGGATCTATAGTTACAGATCTGCTTTAATTCAAATATAGCAGTTAAAAGCATAATAATTTTTTTTTTTCTGAGTTGAGGTAGATTGTCTTTTGTGTGAAATAAGAAACAAGCTATTTCTCCTCAGGTAAGTTCAAATGTGTGACATTATTACTCATTGGAAATTTACTGTATCTGTCTCTATTATGTGATCATACCCAGTCACAGAAGAGCAGAAAAGAGTCTCCATCAGCCAGAGTGATAGTTGTTACTACCAGTGCTGGCTAGAGGAAGCATGGTGGGCAATTTGAGTGATATGGCTGCTTACTTGAATTTAGGTGGATATGTCTGGTTTAGCTCCCGCGCAGTCATCAGGCTTCCCCAAACCTCTGAATGGCCTCCTCCTCTGAATTCCTTTAAAGTACTTATTGCCTGACACAGTCAAATGGGAAACAATGAGACTGGGGAAAAAATGACTTTTTTAAAAAAGCATGTATCAGAAAATGAATGTTGGCTCTTAGAACCTGGTGAGTAGGCCTCACCCTTCTAATGATGTGATAATTATGGGAAACAGCTTTTGGAACTGTTATTTGGGATTTGTCTTCAGAGGCAGTTGAAAAATACTTGCCCAGCTTAGGCAACGTAGCAAGACCCCGTCTCTACACACACAAAAACACACACACCAGCCTATGCAATGTAGCAAGACCCTGTCTACACACACATACATATAAACACACACACACATGCCAGCCTAGACAACGTTTCAAGACCTTGTCTCTACACACACACACATGCACACACCCAGGTATTGCAGCTAGGCAACGTAGCAAGACCCTGTCTCTCCACACACGCATGTGCGCATGTGTGCACACAGGCACTGCAGCTAGGCAACGTAGGAAGACCCCGTCGCTGCACACACACACACACACACACACAGCCAGGAGTTCAAGGTTGCAGTGATCACCACTGCACTCCAGCCTGGGCAACAGAATGAGACCCTGTTTCTAAAAAACTAAAAAAGAAAACTACTTGGAAAAAAACCCACTTTACTTTAGATTCATACTTTTTTTTTTTAAACCACAAATAGTTTTAGATCATCACTCCTTTCACCAGACTTGATTTTAAGTGACTTTTGGCTATTCCAAAAAGTCAAATCTTCTGTTCTTCAGAGAATGAGTATTTGCTATACTGGTAACTTTAAAAAAAGGTCAAATATTTTAAAATTAATTTCATTGAATTTAATTCTAAAAGATGGAGTAGGAATACTAGTTCTAGAAAAAACTGAGCAACTTGGCATTGATGATAGCTATGTATATTGGTTTTTGATGTGTGCTTATATGGACAGTTGCTATATATAGGCCTAGATACTCATTATTTTAAGAGTAATAGTCACTGATGTATTAATTATATGTTCCTTCGTCTTATTTAAAACTTTTAATATGCTTTGCCTCCCAATTAGATTTTAAGGTTCTTAAAAGTAGAAATTACATCTCTTGTACTTTTATTTGTTTCTCTTGTAATGCTTAATATTGGGCCTTGCACATAATAGGTCCACACAGTAGGTACGTGACTAATGATTGCTGAATGAACATGTTCATAAATTGAATATTTCCGCCTAAGAGATAAAGTTTGGAAAAGGATATGCTTTATATTTCAGAAATGGCAAGTTCCAATCCTGTGTATATGGAGATGGAAAAAGGAGATCTACCAACAAGGTTAAAGTTACTAGATGACGAGGTTCCTTTTGATAGTCCGTTGTTGGTTGTTTATGCTACCCGGTAAGTTGTCCTGTATATTGTTTATATGAGCTAAAGCACATGCATTTTTTTGTGTATTTTAGTCTCTAACATGTTACTCATTTGCATATGAGGCAGCTTCTGTTAGTATATTTATTTTCATTTGTAATAAGTAACCTAAATGTAACCAAGTTATATAATTTCACTGAAATTAGAGACTAAAGTGTTTTGTTTTTAAATGCAGGTTGTATGAAAAGTTTGGGGAGTCTGCTCTTCGATCCTTAATCAAGTTCTTTCCATCCATTTTGCCATCGGATATCATACAACTTTGTCATCATCATCCTGCTGAGTTTTTGGCCTATTTAGACAGTCTGGTGAAATCAAGGCCTGAAGATCAGCGGTGAGAAGGAGAGCATATTTGCAGACTCTCCTTTCTTTTGACAGGGCATTGTTTCTCTTTTATAAGCAGGTGTCACATTGTGTACTGTTAATTACCAAGGGGTTGAGGCACATACTATGGAAGAGGAGGATTTGGGAGGCCTTGTAACATTCTGCCACATGTCACAGCACACATCACAAATGTGCATGTACCAC
Source organism: Homo sapiens (assembly GCF_000001405.40). Classification (NCBI taxonomy): domain Eukaryota; kingdom Metazoa; phylum Chordata; class Mammalia; order Primates; family Hominidae; genus Homo; species Homo sapiens. The sequence goes on along the minus strand of NW_021160006.1, from coordinate 36,166 downwards.
ACTTCTTCACTGCCTCTCAGGGATTCTCAGATCAGTGCAAAATTAATCCCTTGATTCAGGGCCTGAACTAAGAAGATAAGCTTCTTATTGTCTTTGCAGTGAGTAGATTCACTGCCACCTTTTTATTGACATAGATCTCAGTTCCAGCTCTTCTCTTTTTAGGCTGATGTCTGATTTTCTGTCTCCCCATGGTTGTAACACTTGTGACCTGTGCCCCTGGCTTATTAGACTAGCGGCTTCCTCCTTTCTTCTTTTGATTGGTTCACATTTGCCACAATGTTGCCCAGGCTGGATGCAGTGGCTATTCACGGGTATGATCATAGCATACTACAGCCTCAAACTTATGGCCTCAGTGATCTTCCTACTCTGGCCACACTGGTTTTTATTTGTCTCTTTCTTTCTCTCTCTCTTTCTCTCCCTTTTTTTTTTTCTTTTTTGGCCCTTTGACATTTTCTTTGTTATCTTGGAGCTTGGTCACCAGCATTTCTAGACATTTTGTAGCAGAAGAGTTTTCAAGTTATTTCTTCTTCTATATTCATCTCTTAATCAGGTTTTCTTCACACTCCCCACATTTTATGCTTCCTTTCTTAGCATGAAGATTGGTGACTTTTTTCCCCAACTTTCTCTTAGGTCATCTTTTCTTGAGTCCCTTCTGCAACCAGAGTCTTTAAGGTTGGATTGGCTGCTTTTGGCAGTGTCCCTTGATGCTCCACCAAGCACCAGCACAATGGATGATGAAGGTTATCCCAGGTACAGAAGAAGTCCTCTTTCTTTGTTTTTTTCTTTACTTTTTTTTTTTGAGACAGGATCTCACTCTGTCGCCTAGGCTGGAATGTGGTGCTAAGATCATGGCTTCCTGCAGCCTTGACCTCCTAGGCTCAGGTGATTAAACCCTTCAACCTTAGCTTCCTGAGTAGCTGGGAAGACAGGAGCACACCACTCTGCCCGGCTAATTTTTTGTACAGATGAGATTTCGCCTTATGGCCCAGGCTGGTCTCGATCTCCTGGGCTCAAGCGATCTACCTGCCTTGGCCTCACAAAGTGCTGGGATTAGAGGCGTGAGCCACTGTGCCTGGCTAGGAGTCTTATTTCTAAGGATTAAGCTCCAGTGTTCCTTTGGAATGGAACTGGTTTATTCACATATGGCATTCTGGGCTCACTTTAGAAATAGCTATGGAAGAGACTGACCCAAGTCATGGTAGTAATGAGATTAAGTATATTTCTTAGTGGTTCTGAAATTTTTTGGGGTCACCCTATAAGAATCTGATGATTCCTTTTAGAAAAATGCAGTCATGCAAAACTTTGCACAGCTGACCGCCTGCAGGTTTTTCATGGGCCCACATTAAGAGACCTTGGTGATTAAGCCTGTGAGAGGATAAAACTGGGTGTGGGGGTTAGGGAGATAGGTATGTATGTGTTTTCTTCCTAAAAATGTGTCAAGGAATTTTTAGACATAACCTGATCTAGGACTTTAAAAATAAAATAAAATTAAAGTACACACTGGTACTTGTGTCAGAACTATTGCTTGCGTTTCCTCCCAGGAGAAGCTTCTTAAAAGACCCCCAAATGCCTGTCTTATATTCCTAGCAAAAAGTCTGGAAGGATATGCAGTGGTTATCTGTGAGTGATGGAATGATAGAATTAAAAGAAGAAAAAAGAATTTATTTCTTTTGCTTTTGATTACCTAAAGTATCTAATCTTTAAAAATAAACAGGTTATAGGAAAAATAGCTATTTTTAAGTTTTCAAAAGCCAAATAGCAATGTTTTTAAAATGTAGTAATAGAATGCAGTTAAACTCTATTCTTACCTATTAGGTGATAAATAAGCATTTTCTAGAGTTTATTTCCTATCTAATTTACTGATTCCTTTTCATTTCATAGGCCTCATTCACACTTGCTTTCCTGGGGTTACAGTCAGCTGATCCTTCATCTAATTAAACTTCCTGCAGATTTTATAACCAAAGAGAAAATGACAGACATCTGCAGGTCTTGTGGGTAAGTGAGAATTTTTTAGAAACTGAAGTTAAGGTTAGAAACATTTCAGTTAACAACTTTATAGTTAAGGGTCTGAATTAATACACATTAATATTTGGGGATTCTCTTTGCTATTTAAAAGTACCTTTTTGTTTTAAGTGATAGTAAATTAAACATCTTTTTTCCATTTAAATTTCTTGCTTTTTTCTTTTTTTTTTTTTTTTAAATAGCCTTAGCTAATTCCCCTCCACTCCCTCTGCTTAGTTGCCAGCCCCAGTTCTCAGGCATGTAGATAGTATTTAATTAAGCACCAGATTATGTGATACCAATTATAATTGATAGACTTTTATAATTAATACAGTAAGAGAGAGATCAAAATGGGCTCAATAGCATCGCTGGTGAAGGACTCAAGGAGGAGGTGAGATTTTGGAGGTAAAACCTAAAACCTGGGTAGGATTTGTATTTATAAAGGAGCCAGGAGAGGGTGAGTTAGGTGAGAGAAACAGAGCAAGGGCGTGGAAAACTGGCATTGCTTATTATCCATGTCACACTTCAGTCAGTTATTTATTGCCTGGTGATACTGGCTTATGGCTCCAACTGGATTATAATCTTTTGGAGATAGCAACTTGTGTCTTTCTTTTCCCTCATAATGTCTATATCTAATTTGTATAGTGGTAGGCACTTGATACATATTTGTTCATTGTAATGAGGGCTGAGTCTGGCCAGGTGGTGGGTGACAAGATCATGCAGGACCTTGAAAGCTGGTAGAATAATTTAGTTATCAGTAGAGACCCTTTTAGACTGAACTACTTGGTGCAAAAATTGTGTAATGAAAGTGGAGCTTTCTAGAGATCATTTCTGATGTCATATATGAGAAGGCTGGAGACAGAAGGCCAGCTAGGAAGCTGTTGGAGTAATTCAGATATGAGTGGATTGGTGATTAGTAGGGCAGCAAAAGGAGCACATCCAGTGGGCATTTCAAAGGAAAATGCAGTGGGACATGCTGATACTGGATATAGCAAATGAAGGAGGGGGAAGAGTCAAGGAAGACTTCCAAGGTTTACATATTTGGAGAAGAAATATGCTAGGTTTGTGTTGAATTTTAAAGTTTATAAATTGAATAAAGCTTAAATGCCTTATAATTGGAGCTTGGCCTCAAATGTCAGCATTTGTTGCTAGGTTTTTTGTTTTTTTTTTTTCCCTAGATCAGGGTCATCTAATAGAACTTTCTGTGATAGTGGAGATATTCTACTGAACTGTCCAATGGTGGCCACTAGCCACATGTAGCCATTGACTACTTGAAATGTGAATATATTAACTGAAAAACTGACTTTCAGATGTTATTTACTTTTAATTAATTTAAATTGAAATAGCCACATGTGACTGTGTCTACTGTTTTGGGCAGCACAGCTCCAGATAAATTCATGGCCTTTTATTCCTTTCTTCAACTTCGGTCTCTTTAAAGTTTCTGGCCTGGATATCTAATTCTCTGTTTGGAGCTGGAGAGAAGAAGAGAGGCCTTCACCAATATTGTGTATCTGAATGATATGAGCCTGATGGAAGGGGACAATGGTATGTCAATCCTAACTGGTTACTCTTGGTTGTCAATTTTTAGAAGTTACTCCAGACCTCTCAACAAAAAAATTTGGTGAACCTTTCAATGATCATATATTTAATATGTGATTCCACTTAGTTGTCACATTTGTGGAGTTTTTGTTTTTGTTTTTGTTTTTTACCTATAGCCCTTGATATGTTATGAAATCACAATTAAGAATAAACTATAGGCAACTTTTCTATTTCATGAGTGCCTACTATGTGTTAGGCACTATACTGTGTGCTTTCCATATGTTGTTTTAAATGAGATAACAAACTCTGGGGATAGTTACTATTATTTCCACTTTCCAGATAACTGAGGTACAGAAGGGACAGTTAATTGGCCCAAAGTCACACAGCTACTAATTGTAAATGCTGGAGCTGGGGTTCAGACCAAGGACTTCCTCCAAAATTTGTGCTTAGGCTCTTTTTTTTTTTTTTTTTTAATTTCCCATTAATTAAAGATGATTCTGGCCAGGCGCGGTGGCTCACGCTTGTAATTCCAGCACTTTCAGAGGCCGAGGTGGGCAGATCACCTGAGGTCGGGAGTTTGAGACCAGCCTGGCCAACATGGTGAAACCCCATCTCTACTAAAAATACAAAAATTAACTGGGCATGGTGGCTTATGCTTGTAATCCCAGCTACTTGAGAGGCTGAGGCAGGAGAATTGCTTGAACCTGGGAGGTGGAGGTTGCAGTGAGCTGAGATCGCACCACTGCACTCCAGCTTGGGCAACAGAGCAAGACTTGGTCTCAAAACAAAAAGGAAAAGAAAAATTCCTTGAATTCGTCAAGTTCTTTCCTGTGTCACATTGTCTTCCATGTTTCCTTTATCAGAAATGCAGGCCCCTTATTTCTGATGGCTCCTACTCCAAGTTTTCACATTATGTGGGCCCCATGCATATGTCCTCTAAGCTTGTCTCATCTTTTAGCTTTCTGCTTCAATGTCACTTCCTCATAGAGCCCTTCTCAGATCTTCCAGGCAGAATCAGCCATTCTCTCTGATGCTTCCTTGTTCTTTTTTTTCATAGTGCTTAGCATACTTTATAAGTATATACTTACGTGTTTAAGTTTTGTCTCCTATACTAGACTGTAGGCTCCACAAGAGTACAGGGATTGTGTCTCTTCTGTTCATCATTACATATCCAGTGCTTAGCATAGGATATGCCCTGGGTAATTACTGAGTGGTTGAAAGAATTCTGAAGCTGCCCAGGTGTGGTAGCTCATGCCTGTAATCCCAGCACTTTGGGAGGCTGCGGTGGGAGGCTTGCTTGAGCTCAGGAGTTTAAGACCAGCCTGGGCAACATGGTAGTGAGACCCTGTCTCTCTTTAAAAAAAAAAAAGAAAAAAATTAAAGTTAATTTTGTGGCTTCTCTTTCTCATGAACAATTTATACAACAAATTTTCAGAAAACAACTTGTGTTAGGGTGATGAGATTGTGTTCTTGAATATTTTTACGTTTTGGCATTAAACATTTTCACAGTTTTGACCATCTCCTGTATCCAGTCAGTGTGCTAAGAGTGGTCAAACTGACACTTCCCTGTGTGTGTTTAGGTTGGATCCCAGAGACCGTGGAGGAATGGAAGCTTCTCCTTCATCTCATACAGAGCAAGAGCACGAGGCCAGCCCCCCAGGAGTCACTAAATGGGAGCCTCAGTGATGGGCCTTCCCCCATCAATGTGGAGAATGTGGCACTTCTGTTAGCTAAGGCCATGGGCCCAGATCGGGCTTGGTCACTGCTACAGGAATGTGGTCTGGCCCTTGAGTTGTCAGAGAAGTTTACCAGAACCTGCGATATCCTGAGGATTGCTGAGAAAAGGCAGAGGTAATATCAGTTTGTCCTACCCTCTGCATAGTGCTTGGAGAAGGTAGAAGGCCACAGACTTTCAGATGTAGATGTGGAGATCATTTAGTCCCGACCCATCACTAACATGAGGAGACTGAGACTGATGTGGTAATTAAGGGAAGAGGCTAAAGTAATATTTCATTCACAGCCATGACCAAGATGCTGTTCAGATTAACCTGAATAATCTGATGTGTCCTTGATTCTTTAAAAATATTACTGGTACCAGGCTGGTCGTGGTGGTTCACGCCTGTAATCCTTGCACTTTGTGAGGCCGAGGTGGGCGGATCATGAGGTCAAGAGATTGAGACCATCCTGGCAACATGGTGAAACCCCATCTCTACTAAAAAAAAAAAGTACAAAAATTAGCTGGGTGTGGTGGCACGTGCCTGTAGTCCCAGCTACTTGGGAGGCTGAGGCAGGAGAATCGCTTGAACTCGGAAGGTGGAGGTTGCAGTGAGCCAAGAACATGACACTGTACTCTAGCCTGGTGACAGAGCGAGACTCCATCTCAAAAACAAAAAAATTACTGGTACCTGGCTGGGTACGGTGGCTTATGCCTGTAATCCCAGTACTTGGGGAGGCTGAGGCAGGTGGATAACCTGAGGTCAGGAGTTCGAGACCAGCCTAACCAATATGGTGAAACCCTGTCTCTACTAAAAAAAAAAAAAAAAAATGCAAAAAAATTAACTGGACATGGTGGCAGACACTTGTAATTCCCAGCTACTCGGGAAGCTGAGGCAGGAGAATCGCTTGAACTCAGCAGGCAGAGATTGCAGTGAGCCAAGATCACGCCATTGCACTCCACCCTGGGCAACAAGAGCAAAACTCTGAAAAAAAAAAAAAAAATTACTGGTACCAGATACCTAATGTCTCAGTAATTTTTTTTTGTGGTATAATACACATAAAATTTATCATCTTAACAATTTAAAAATATTCAGCTCAGTGGTATTAAGTTATTCATATTGTTTTGCATCCAGTCTCTAGAACTTTTTCATTTTGCAAAACTGAAACTCCACACCCATTAAACAGCAACTTACTTCCTCTACCTAGCCCCTGGCAACCACAGTTCTACTTTCTGTTTTTATTAATTTTACTATTCTACATACCTCATCTCAGTGGAATTAATACATTTGTCGTTTTGTGACCAGCCTGTTTTCACTGAGCATAGCATCCTAAAGGTTTATCCATGTTGTAGCATGTGTCAGGATTTCCTTTCTACTTAAGGCTGAATAATATTCCGTTGTATATATATGCCACCTTTTGTTTATCCATTCATCTGTTGACAGACACTTGAATTGCTTCCACTTTCTGGCTATTGTGAATAACGCTGCTATGAATATGAGTATACAAATATGTCTTCCAGACACTGCTTTCAGTTCTTTCGGGTATATACCTGAAAGTGGAATTCTGGAATCATATGGTAATTCTATTTTTAATTTTTTGAGGAACCACCATACTGTTCTGTAGAGACTGCACCATTTTACTTTCCTGCCAGCAGTGCACAAGAGTTCCAATTTCTCCATGTGCTAGCCCCACACTTGTCATTTTCTGTTGTTGTTTTTTGTTAAACAGTAGCTATCCCAGTGGGTGTCAGGTACTATATATCTCATTGTGGTTTTGATTTGCATTTTTCTAATGATTAGAGATGTTGAGCATTTTTTCATATGCTTATTGACCATTTATATAATTGTCTTTGGAGAAATAGCTATTCAAGTCCTTTGCCCATGTTGAATCAGGTTGGGTGTTTTCGTTGTTGTTGCTGTAAGAGTTCTCTGATATTCTGGATATTAACCTCTTATCAGATACATGATTTGCAAATATTTTCTTCCATTCTGTAGGTTGCCTTTTCACTCTGTGCATTGTGTCTTTTAATGCACAGAATCAGTCAACTTTTTGAATCCTCTGAAACTCTGTAGTTTTTAAGTTTTCTGTGAAGAATGAACAATGACAACTAAATTTGCTTGTTTCTTTTCTTTGGGATTTCAGGGCCTTGATACAAAGCATGCTTGAAAAATGCGATCGGTTTCTCTGGTCCCAGCAGGCCTAGTGGGAGAAGATTCAGCAGGATGTCATGACATTTTGAGAAAAACTAAATCATGCTCCTGAACCTTCTGAACGCATTTGTTATTGAAGGAAAGACACCACCCCCAAATCCTGCCATCTTATTGGGGCTACTTTTGTCAGTGTCTGTACCCTTGGCATCGGCATCTGTGACTCTTTATCCATGACCTCAGTGTTTCTTAACCAAAGTTGTACTCAGCATTTCTTAACCAAAGTTGAATTTTGAAAAGAGTCAGTCCTTGTTTGCTGGAATTAGAATGTTAATGTCCTAGTATTATTCCGAACTACAGTATTAACTGCTTGTTGCTAGTGGATTAGACAGATTCTTTTCTTACTGTGGCTTCCATGTTGGGAGCAGAAGCTTTTCATCCTGGTCACATGAAGACAGATGGTATTATTGACTGGAGTTGAATTATTTTTATATCTTGTCTGGCACAATATGGAAATTACTGAAATAAGACGGTGTATAATGGAATTAACACCCAAAATAAGTAGAACACTGAAGATTTGAATTTGATATTTAAGTAAAATGGGACTGGGTGCAGTGGCTCAGGCCTGTAATCCCAACCCTTTGGAAGGTAAAGACGGGAGGATCACTTGAGGCCAGGAGTTCAAGACCAGCCTGGGCAACATAGTGAGAATGCATCTCTACAAAAAATAAAAAAAATTAGCTAGGCATAGTACCTGAGGCCAGGAGGTCCAGGCCGCAATGAGATGTGTTTGTGCCATTGCACACCAGTCTGGGTGACAGAGAAAGACCCTGTCTCAAAAACAAATTAAATAAAATATCTTCATATATAAATTAAGCTAATTAAAAATATTTTTCCCTGTATTTATTTAATATTTTCTAATCTGAACCCATATACAGCTGACTAATTCATTCTTAGAAATGTGTTATCTGTAATCTTTCCTAAACAGAGTAGCCCACAAGAATCATGCACTTTTTAAAATTATTTCTAAGAAGCCATAACAAAGCTGTGTACTAATAAAGACTGCAGCAAGCACTTGTGTTATTTAAATTATGTAAGTAGATTGTCATTTGTCAGGCTCCTGTACATTTACATAGCATGTTATATTAATAATAAATGTAAAATATGACTAAAGTTTTCATTGGAACACAATGTAGACAGGAGGTTTATTATGAGCATTTTGCAGAAAGGTGTGGAGTAAGTAAAGTGTTGGATGCACTGAACAATTCAACTCTTTTTTGCATTTATAACATAACCAGAGAATATGGACACAAATCACTGTTAAACTTACACATTACTCCTAGATATGATGCAACCATATGGGTTAAAGAGATTGTCGGCTGGGCGCGGTGGCTCACGCTTGTAATCTCAGCACTTTGGGAGGCCAAGGCGGGTGGATCACGAGGTCAGGAGATCGAGACCATCCTGGCTAACACGGTGAAACCCCGTCTCTACTAAAAATACAAAAAAATTAGCCTGGCATGATGGCTGGCGCCTGTAGTCCCAGCTACTCGGGAGGCTGAGGCAGGAGAATGGCGTGAACCCGGGAGCCGGAGCTTGCAGTGAGCCAAGATCGTGCCACTGCACTCCAGGTTGGGCGACAGAGTGAGACTCCGTCCCAAAAAAAAAGAGAGATTGTCAGGGAAAGGAGAATTCTTAGAATTCCGGGAAGTATGGAAAACCTTCCCACTAGCATAATTTGCCTTTTGGCCATATTGGATTGTGTTGAAATGTGCATCTATACTGAGATAAGGGTGAGAGCCCCTGTCCACTGTCAGCACAGTCACTACTAGAAGGCCCAGAGGAAGTCCCGTGACAAGCAGACAGCATGAACTGGCACAATTGTGCAATCATTTCTTCACAGACCTTCTCAAGGCACAGCAATTCTCATTTGATAAAGGGTATGGAGAGAAATTTCTAATATAACAAAAACAAATCTTGTCACTTGAATTTATTTTCCGAGGCAAACAAACAAAAATCACCTTCATGACATTAGATGAAAAAAAAAATCTCCTTCAGTTAAACATTTAAACTTGCAGTCTATTTGGGTATTAGTTTTTAAATAGAACTTGTATCTTTCTTTCGCTTCCCTGAAAGTTCTAGGCAGATTGTGATTCATGGTTGCCTCCCTTTTCCCTTTTGTTTACAGATCTGACCGGCTGTTTTACAGGGCATCACAGTGGCTGAGAGCTTGTGTTCTGAGGCTGACTGCCTTGGTTTGAATATCTACTCTCTCTTTTGCTTCATGACTTTGGGAAGTTCCTTTGTTTTTCTAAGTTCTAGTGTTCTCATCTGTAAAATGGGGATGATGGTAGCTCTGATTCAGGGTATTTTGAGGATTAGATGAGATAATAGCACAAAGAAAGAGTTGAGGTGTTAGAGCTCCTTTTTAGTGAGAATTAAAGGAGACGGAAATGGTAGGGCACAGTGCCTGTGATGTAGCGTATAGGTAATAATGTTAGCTATTGTTAGAAAGGTTTGGGATGTCGTTGTTGGACCTGGTAGTTATCAGACCCATAGACATTGGATTTACATGAGCCAGAGACAGTGGGAAGACGAAAATTGAAATTAATAATTTCCTTGCATGTGTTAAATTTGTGATTGCCCTGGTCAAGGCTCAAAACCTTGTAGTAGTCATCCTTGCCTCTTCCTCCTCCTCTACCCTCACTTCTAATGACTAGGTACATTTCTACCTTGCTTTCAATTCTACCTTGCTGGTGTTTTCCATTAGTCATTTTTTTCCCATTGTCTCTTGCCACCAGCTCACGTTCTCATTATTTCTTGCCTAGACTATTGCCACAGTCTTTTTTTTTTTTTTTTTTTTTTGAGACGGAGTTTCGCTCTTGTTGCCCAGGCTGGAGTGCAATGGTGTCATCTCGGCTCACAGCAACCTCCGCCTCCCAGGTTCAAGCGATTCTCCTGCTTCAGCCTCCTGAGTAGCTGGGATTACAGGCATGTGCAACCACACCCAGCTAATTTTGTTGTTGTTTTTATTTATTTATTATTATTTTTAGTAGAGATGGGGTTTCTCCATGTTGGTCAGGCTGGTCTGGAACTCCCAACTTCAGGTGATCCACCTGCCTTGGCCTCCTAAAGTGCTTGGATTACAGGCGTGAGCCACTGCGCCTGGCCCATTACAGCAGACTTAAGTGACCTTCCTCTCTTCACCTCTAACCACTGACATCCCATCACTGCCACCAGTTCATCTCAGCACAATAAATGTAAACAATCTTAGATCTATTAAGAGGTGACAGCGTGCTGGCGACCCTCGCAGCCCTCGCTCACTCTCCGTGCCTCCTCGGCCTCGGCCCCCACTCTGGCGGCACTTGAGGAGCCCTTTAGCTCGCTGCTGCACTGTGGGAGCCCCTTTCTGGGCTGGCCAAGGCTGGAGCCGGCTCCCTCAGCTTGCAGGGCGGTGTGGAGGGAGAGGCGCAGGTGGGAACCGGGGCTGTGCGCGGTGCTTGCGGGCCAGCGCGAGTTCCGGGTGGGCGTGGGCTCAGCGGGCCCCGCATCGGAGCGGCCGGCCGGCCCCACCGGCCCTGGGCAGTGAGGGGCTTAGCACCTGGGCCAGCAGCTGCTGTGCTCAATTTCTCGCTAGGCCTTAGCTGCCTTCCTGTGGGGCAGGGCTCGGGACCTGCAGCCCGCCATGCCTGAGCCTCCCCCCGACTCCGTGGGCTCCTGTGCGGCCCAAGCCTCCCTGACGAGCACCGCCCCCTGCTCCAGGGCGCCCAGTCCCATTGACCACCCAAGGGCTGAGGAGTGCGGGCACATGGCAGGGGACTGGCAGGCAGCTCCACCTGTGGCCCCGGTGCGGGATCCACTGGGTGAAGCCAGCTGGGCTCCTGCGTCTGGTGGGGACTTGGAGAACCTTTATGTCTAGCTGAGGGATTGTAAATACACCAATCGGCACTCTGTATCTAGCTCAAGGTTTGTAAACACACCAATCAGCACCCTGTGTCTAGCTCAGGGTTTGTGAATGCACCAATCGACACTGTATCTAGCTACTCTGGTGGGGACTTGGAGAACCTTTATGTCTAGCTAAGGGACTGTAAATACACCAGTCAGCATTCTGTATCTAGCTAATCTAGTGGGGATGTGGAGAACTTTTGTGTCTAGCTCAGGGATTGTAAATGCACCAATCAGCACCCTGTCAAAACGGACCAATCAGCTCTCTGTAAAATGGACCAATCAGCAGGATGTGGGTGGGGCCAGATAAGAGAATAAAAGCAGGCTGCCTGAACTGGGGTGGCAACCTGCTCAGGTCCCCTTCCACACTGTGGAAGCTTTGTTCTTTTGCTCTTTGCAATAAATCTTGCTGCTGCTCACTTTTTGGGTCCACACTGCCTTTATGAGCTGTAACACTCACTGCGAAGGTCTGCAGTTCACTCCTGAAGCCAGTGAGACCATGAACCCACCGGGAGGGACAGACAACTCCAGACGCTCCACCTTAAGAGCTGTAACACTCACCACGAAGGTCCATAGCTTCACTCCTGAGCCAGGGAGACCACGAACCCACCAGAAAAGAAACTCCGAACACCAGAAGTAACATTCCGGACACCCCACCTTTAAGAACTGTAACACTTAAACACTCACCGAGAGGGTCTGTGGCTTCATTCTTGAAGTCAGTGAGACCAAGAACCCACCAATTCCGGACACACTATTACCCAGTCAGGTGATTCACAAACCTGGCTCCATATCAGAATCACCGCAGGAGCCTGTTAAAAATACAATTGCTGGCCAGGCATGGTGGCTCACACTTGTAATCCCAGCACTTTGGGAGGCCAAGGTGGGCGGATCACCTGAGGTCAGGAGTTCAAGACCAGCCTGGCCAACATAGTGAAACCCTGTCTTTACTAAAATACAATAAAAATTTAGCTGGGCATGGTGGTGGGTTCCTGTAGTCCCGCTACTTGGGAGGCTGAGGCAGGAGAATCGCTTGAACCTGGGAGGTGGAGGTTGCAGTGAGCTGAGATTGCACCACTGCTCTCCAGCCTGGGCCACACAGCGAGACTGTTAAAAAAAAAAATTAGCTGGGCATGGTGGCACACACAGGTAGTCCCAGCTACTCAGGAGGCTGAGACATGAGAATCGCTTGAACCCGGGAGGCAGAGGTTGCAGTGAGCTGAGATCGCACCACGGCACTACAGCCTGGGTGACAGAGTGAGAGTCTGTCTCAAAAAAAAAAAAAAAAATACAATTGGTAGAGACCCTGCCCCAAACCTGAAAACTATAGATCAAGGGACTAATTTATTTTTATTTTTGAGACGGAGTCTCGCTCTGTCACCCAGGCTGGAGTGCAATGACACGATCTCAGCTCACTGCAACCTCCTGGTTTCAAGCGATTCTCCTGCCTCAGCCTACCGAGTAGCTGGGATTACAGGTGTGCACCACCACGCCTGGCTAATTTTTGTATTTTTAGTAAATGTGGGGTTTCATTATGTTGGCCAGGCTGGTCTCCAACTCCTGACCTCAATTAATCTGCTTGCCTGGGCCTCCTGACGTGCTGGGATTACAGGCGTGAGCCACTGTGCCCGGGCTCAATGGACTAATTTAACCTCCCTCAACTTGCCATCGACCCCCACACTGTTCTGAGATTTAGATAGAGTCATCCTCGTGTATAGATGCATCACAGTCCATGAGAAAGATTGTTTATCTTGCTTTCATGGGAAGTTAATTGCAGATGCACTGCCAGGATCTTTGTCTTCTTGGGGCACAGTCATGCCACTTCCCAGTCAGAAACTTTCAACGCCTCCCCTCTGTTTTCAGAGTACAGCCCAAGCCCTTGGGCTTGGCATTTAAGGCCTTCCGTGATCTATTTTCAAACTTTTTCTGTTTCAGAGCCCAAGTTTGTCCCTTGTCCTGGGTCCTCCGTTCCTTGCATACGTTCTGCACTTTGCTCTTTTTGCATATGTTCCTGTTCAATTCTGGCGTGGCTTTTCACCCATTGCCCACCTGCTGAAATTTCCTTAGGATTCTGTCCACCTCACATGGACGTGAGGGCTGTATAATTGTCAGAACCCTGAGCTTATGAGGGCCCCCCACTTGGTTTAATGTTCTGCTTTCACTGTTTTGAAATTCTTAATAATTGATGGACAAGGGTTCCCACATTTTTTTCCCCTGTTTTGGCTTCTCAACAAAGTCCCTACTTATTTTTTATTTTTATTTTTTGCTGTAGTTCCTACAGATTAGGTAGGAGCTCCTGACTGCCACAGTAGATCTAGGGTAGAGCCTGAGATTTTGCATTTCTGACAAGATCCCAGGCGATGCTGATGCCTCTGGTCCTTGGATCACACTTTGAGTAGCAAGGGTCAGTCTGAAGTATGGTAGAGCCAACAACTTGGAAGGAACCTGAAAGACAGTACGGAGCTGAAGTCCCTGGCAGCTGAAATACTCATCACAAACTGTTAGGTGAGACATAAATTTGTATATTCCTTAACATTCTGTATTTTGGAGTATCTTTGTTGAAGCAAGTTAGCCTTACCCTACTAAAGGAAGTGAAGGAGAGCAGGTCTCACAGGTCCTTCTGTCCTTTTCTAATTTGGAAAAAGCCTATGAGGTGTGCAATAGGAACTTGGCTCTGAGTGAGTCAAACACAAGCTCATGCTCCCTGGTTCGCTCCCTCCAGTGCTGGTGGGGGCTGACTGGAATGGCCTTTCTGATCTGAGGGGTTGGAGACTGATTTTGAAAGAAGTCCTCTTAGACTTCTATCCCAGACCATGCAGTGCAGCCCAACTTACCAGAGTTCTGCTTTGAAGTTTGGGGCCAAACCCCAACCAACAATAGAGTGCTGGTCATTGTCCTCAGAACTTATCTCCATTGGGGACCTTGTGGGTTTGATTGGGCATAAGATTCATATATTCCTTGTATCCCCTAACCATAAAGGCCATCATATTACCCTCATTTTACCGCAGCCTCTAACAAAGTACCTATATTGTAAGAAAACAAAAACAAGTTATTTCAAGCAAAAGATTATGTAGTGTGTTACAATCTTGTTGCTAGGAATGTCACCATGTCCCTAAACCTATTAAAGCCCCATAGCATCCCTAAATTCCTTCAGTGTCTTGTGGAGCACTGTGCTCCAAATCATGTTCCCCCTGGGAGTGGCATCTGTGTGGGATCACAAGGGTTATGGCAGGTTTCATTAGTCCATGGTGGTTTACATTTCTCTGTCTCTCCCAGTCGCCCTGCCTCTTTCCCCATCTTGGCTACCCAGTATAGTTTCTTCTTGTCTCTTTTATTCTTAGTCTAAGATCCAGTCCATTCCTTTGTTCCCAAGTGAACTTGCTGTGTCCAGACCTTACTTTCAAAAAGCAAAGCTTTGCACTGTGTATCAGATGCAGCCTGTCAACTACTTCAGACCTGTTGGCCCACTCCCCTTTCTCCAGCCACTGCTACAGTGATGGGTTCCACCATAGGCTTTAATTCATTTCACACAGGTACAACCTGGCAGCACCTTGCTTTGGGTCTGCTCCGTGGACCTTCTACTTCCTACTCCAGGTAAACCCACTGGACACTCTTGTGTGCATAGCCAACAAATGCAGAAAAGTTAACAATGGTGGGGCCACCTTTGACCAAAGGGAGATGGAAGCCAGTTGCTAGGTGCCTTTCAGTTTGGACTGCTGATGGAGAGCACTGAGACACTTTTTATGATGTTCCTCTGAAGGTCCCAGTGGCATCAGTTATGTGGCTCTTATGCATGGCCAGCTGTATAATGTGTCCCTGTATTGGCCTTGCTCTTCCCTGTTTTACTCCACTGTCTCACTCCTGCTCCCCGTGTTCATTCCCCAAATAAAATACCTACACACAAGACTTTGTTTCCGCTTTCTTTTCAGGAGAACCCATGCTAAGAATTGTGGAAAGGTGGCGGAGGTGGGAAGCGGGTGCAGTGGGGAGAGTCTGCTATTCTTTGAGGCTTTATCACCTAGACTTAGTCTGTTATCTGAGTGTGTATTAGGTAAGAAACAGTAGTTAACCAGTCATCATTGCAGGCTGGGTCTTCTCTCCCCACACGACTTGCTTCCTTTTCCTCCCACTCTGATGTCCTCCACATCTGTTCAGCGGAGCTCCCTGACCCTACCTGCAGATGCAGCACAACTTATGGCTTGGTATAGGAACTACTGAAGGATCCTCAACCTCTAATCTCTAGGCAAGCCTCCAACTACACTCTGGGGTACTAGGGAGAGTGGCACATCCACACTTAACTCAATAGCGAGAGACCCAAAGGCGTTGCTTCTGATCAAGGAACTAATTTTACAAAAAATGAAGTATAACGGGGTCCCATGCTTATGGAATTCACTGCTCTTACCATGTTCCCTATCTTCCTGAAGAAGAGAGGAGGTCTCCACTGCTGAATCTCTTGGCCTTGTTCAGTGTATCACAGGTTCTGGAGTCAGACAAACCAGCCTGCAGTCTTGGCTCTGCACCTGTTACATGTGTGACCTTGGAGAAGGCCTGAACACATACCTCTAAACCTGTTTATCCAACCGAGAACATCAAAGGCTTCTCTGCAGTGTCAATCCGATAAAGCATGTAAAGTATAGGACACAGTCTTGCAATTGCAGTGTAAAAGATGGCAGCGATTCTAGTTACTATTCACTGGCCTTCCATATTCCAGCAGAGTTTGGACTGCCACCAGTGTGTGCCTGTATTGAGGCTCTTATTGTGTTGTGTCTACCTACATATCTCGCTTTCTCTTTAGAACAATAAACATTGTCAAACGACAATGAGTGAGACTAATGTATCTTGTGAACAGTTACACAGGACAATAGAAATGAAAGTGTTTTTATGAACTGTTCAAATGCTAGTTATGTTACAGGGGCTTCCAGTCCAGCAGGGGAACTGACATACAAAACCAATTCTGAGAGGAGGGGGTAAAGATGAACGAGCAGGTGTGAACAAAGTGCTTGGGAGCCACAAACTCTGCCCCAGAGTGTGGTTCATGGCTACTGGGAAGGCTCTTCAAGGAAGTGGAATTTTTGTCTGGACCTGAATTCTAAGTCAGTGAAAAGAAAGATGAGGGAAACAAATGGGAGAGCCATTCTTTAAGGAGAATAAAGAGAAACTTTAAAAATTGGGTCAGTCAGAAGCAGGGTGATGTCCCTAAAAATAATAATAATAAAATAAGAAAATAAAATTTTAAAATGAGATCAGGAGTAGGGGCTAGTGTTGGTGAGACTAATGTATCAGTTGCCAGGACTCTTGGGATGAGGCTTTCCAAAGCCTCATAGAAACATCATTGAGGACAAGGCCAGGAGGTCGAGAAGGGGACAGGACACAACTGACAGGGCAGTGAAGAGATCTGGGCACACAGAGGCCTGGGAATAGCAATAAAATGACTGGTGAGGCCTCTGCATGACCAGGGAGAGGGGGTGGGTGAGCGGTGTGAGACAATTGATCAATGTAGCCGCAGATACAAAAGGAAGGGTTTAACATAGAGAGTTATTAATGGCTAACATGAGATTAGCTACTAAGGGATAAAAAACACAGAAAGAAATAAATTTGGGAAAGGGCTCCTCACAAGGCTGAGATTAAATCTTGCTGGAGAGTGTGTGGCTGTAGCCACTGGGTGGCAGGAAGCTTTTGCTGGGTGCCACAAGCCAAAGCTGCAAGCAAGGAGCTCTCCATTGAGGTGCTAGCAAAACGTGCCGGGGTGCAGTTGAACTCACTGGGAATGTGGCTCGGGTTCCTACAGACTCACTGGGCAGCTGCTCACATGGGGTAAGGGGTGGGATCTGCTGAAGCCCCTGGGATCCTGTGGGGGTGGCCACTGAACTCATCATGTCCTTGCCTCAGGGATGCCCAGGATGCCCTGTGTGCCCAGGAGTCGTCTCCCACCCACCCAGCCTCCACGTTCACTTAGATGTGCATGGATCGCCCCTTCATACTAAACAGGCAGTCTATACCACAAAGTATAACACCCAGTTTCCACAAATTCCACCTCTTAAGTATTTATTAGATACCCATTGTGTACCCTCTCCCCGCTTTGTATCCCTGCCCTGAGGGCCTCACAGCCAGATCTCCTGAGAGCAGAGTGAAGAGGAAGCTCAGTATTTCTCAGGCAGGCCAGCAGGTCGGAAGTGATTGGGGTCTTTGCCACTCCTGCCCCATTCATTGGCAGCCTGATCAGCCAGCGAGTCCTCCGCACCATGGCCAAAGAATCTCTGGATATTCTCTCTGGCATCGCTGTAATCAAGGCAGGCAAGAAGGAGATTAATAATCAGGCCAGTGAGCAATAGCCCACCCTCCCATTCTCCCTGTTCCAAGGGAGGGCTCAGAGAGGAGCCCAGAAAGGCCAAGGAAGGAGGGATGAAAACACTGGGCACCACCCCATTCAGCCAGGCTGGGCACCCCTAGGCTGGATGAACAGCACCCAGAGAGGGAGGATGAGGAATCACTCACTCCTACCATCCACTCAGACCTCACACTGAGCACAGAGGCAGAGAGAGGGCAAGAGGAGGAGGGGCCGCAGCCTCTAACTTCTCCACAAGGAGCTCGTCTCCCTCCTGACTGTCCAAGGCAGGCAAGCTCTGCTCACCCAGCCCTAACGTCCCAGGAGCTCCAGTTACGTGATCACTTCTGCAGCCCAGGCACCCCCAGGTCCCCTTTTGGCAGCATCATAGTTCCCCCGAGCATGGAAGTATTTGTCTGAGCCGATGTAATTGGCTTCTCTCATGTCAGAGTAGGCTCTCCACATGTCCCGAGCCCCTGGAAAGGAAAGGAAAGGCAGAAGGGACATCAGGAGAACATAAAGACTCCAACAACACCTTAGAGGGGAATGAGGAAGGACAAATCTTCCACTGACTTCAAGCTTTCAGCCTGTGATCATAGCAGCCTTGGATACCATGGGTTGAGAAGCACATTCCTTTATCCTAGTTGGCTTCTTCAAGTGCCCTGGTGAAGAGCCACTGCTATAGAATGAAGCTGCCTATGATAAGATCCAGGAGTGTGTATGAATGAGGTAGTGACATGGAATACTGATGCTGAGAAAGGTGGCAGACACAGAGTACTTCTGCCCTGACTACTAAAGTTTATATTCTTTTTTTTTTTTTTTTTTTTTTTTTTTTTTTTAGACAGAGTCTTGCTCTGTCGCCCAGGCTGGAGTGCAGTGGTGCTATCTCAGCTCATCGCAACCTCCACCTCCCAGGTTCAAGAGATTCTTCTGCCTCAGCCTCCTGAGTAGCTGAGATTACAGGCATGCGCCATCACGCCTGGCTAATTTTTGTATTTTTAGTAGAGACGGGGATTTCACCATGTTGGTCAGGCTGGTCTCGAACTCCTGACCTCGTGATCCCCCTGCCTTGGCCTCCCAAAGTGCTGGGATTACAGGCGTGAGCCACCGCACCCCGACCTAAAGTATATATTCTTGCAAATGGAATACACGTCATTGTGACGTGAGTTCCAGTGACTGTTAGGAGCATAAAAGTCCCTAAATACTTTCTTAGTAGGCTGTACTGATGCTGTGGGTTGCTTGAGGAAGCAATAGGGCAGTGGTGCTCTGCCTTGGCTGCACTTTCTTTTTCATTTTTTTTAGATGGAGTCTCGCTCTGTCACCCAGGTTGGAGGACACTGGTGCGATCTCTAGTCACTGCAACCTCTGCTTCTCGGGTTCAAGTGATTCTCGTGCTTCAGCCTCCTGAGTAGCTGGGATTACAGGTGCCTGCCACCACGCCTGGCTACATTTTAGTATTTTTAGTAGAGACGGGGTTTCACCATGTTGGCCAGGCTGCTCCGGAACTCATGACCTCAAGTGATTCATCCACCTTGGCCTCCCAAAGTGCTGGAATTACAGGCGTGAGCCTTGGCTGCACTTTCTAATCACCCAGAGAGAAACTGAAAGTCCCAGTGCCCAGGCCACACCCCAGGCCAGTTTCTGCAGACTCTGCTGGGGAGTTGAAGGCATGGGTATTTCAGGTGATGCCAAGGTGTGCCTGAGATTCATAACCATCAACCTCTAGGAGGTGGTCAGTGATGCGTCTACCTGGCAAGAGCCCTGACCTCAAGCACAGCCGGGCTCAAACCTCTGCCCTGCCACCTGCTGACTGGCAGTAAGTCCCTGGGCATTGGCTTCAGCTGCTCTAAGTCTCAGCTTTCTCACCTTCCAAGATCAGCTTTCTCACCTTCCAAGAGAGGAAGATTGCGTCACAGAGTCATTCTGAAACTAAATGAGAAAATGCTGTGGTCCTTGTGGGGGCTTGAGGCACGTTAGTTCCCAGCTCTTGTCAAGAAGGCTGGAGAAGGAAGAATGGAAACAGAACAAACCAGGAAGGGAGCCCCTGACAGAGCGAGGCTAAAGAGCCCTGTACATTATCCAACTAGGAAATCGAAGGAGGAAGGAGAAAGAAGACAGAAGAGTCAACAGCCTTAGTCATACTCCTATGCGATTTATGCTGAGGGACATTTTATACCCATTGCAGGCCTTATTTTGCATCTTCTACGCAAAACAAACAGCTCAGGTGCTCCTGGAAAGGATGATTGTTCTTTCTCTGAGTAACTGACAACAATCCTCGACTCTCTAATCTGTTTAGCAGCTCCCCAGGCACATTGGGCAGCACAACCTAAGGCAGCGGCTCAAATCTTAAGGAAGCCCAAAAATACCCCGTGTGCGTTGTTACTGGATGCCCCGTCCCTTACGGCTCAGGAGATGTGTTTTTGATACACCTTGCAGCGGCTTCTGAAATGTGATCCATCCACTTAACACATCCTGAGAAGCTGCACTACGGGGAAAGGGGATATTCCCAGCAGCTCTGAAAGACTCGAGACAGGCAACCCAGCAAACCCTAGTTCCTGGCAGGCCTCAGCAACGCAGACACTAGCAACTCTGTGGTTCAAAAGCAGCCTTCCGAAAGCATCATTTTCCCCAGTTTATCAGGTCCAGGGTGATGTTTCTCTTCAGAAATCCTGCAAACCTTCTGAAGCCTTACCATCAAAAGCCTCGCCAAGGAACGAAAAGAAGCTTCGGCTGCTGACACCCAGGACCAAGGAGCAGAAAACCAGGCCCGTGAGAAGCTTCATGGTGCTGAAATGAAAGGAGAAGTCAGGCAGTCGCCCACAAGACTGGCACAGCTTCCCTTGGGACTTATATTCCGACGAGAGCCTGGTTATTTCCACTGGATCTTATTAGAGTCTCAGTGGCTCATCTAGGAAACCTTGCAGCAGGACCTCACTCAGAGCCAGAAGCCCTCGGTTCTGAACCCATCAGCCCTGAAGCCTGACTGCATAAGAGGATGCCAACGTGGCACTGATGGAGGAAGGCAGGAGTTACCACCAGACTGTCACTCCCTCAAGTAGCCTATAATTCCCCATAACGCATTTACCGTGTGTTCCCTCTGCCCCGCACAGAACTCAACATGGGATAAACACAAAGCAGGATCATTATTTTTTATTCTTAAAGCCTTTAGCACCTGGTATTCCCAGGTGTTCTCCCATCCAAGTACTACCAGGCCCGACCCTGCTTACCTCTCTAGATCAGAGGAGATAAGACACCTTCAGAATGGTATGGCTGTATGCCCCAGGATAACTATTTTTTTTAAAGGAAATGATAATCTTGTTGGGAAAGAGAAAACAGAGTAAGTTTTAAAAATCACTCCTTGGTGTGCTCCTCACCTGATCTGTGCTGTAGCTGAGCTGCGGGTCCCTGCCTGCCAGGGAGCGGTGGCTGCTATTTATACTGAGCCTTCCCTGCTGGTTTCTTGGGAGCGAAGAAAAGCTGGATGTGGTCCCTGGGGAAAGTCCCTGCAGGTCATTTCCCCTACAAAACGGTCTAAGACAAGTTCCTGGATGCCAGTGGTTTCTTCATCCCGGGTCATTTATCCCAGTTGTGCAACCTGAGGGAACAAGATGTGCCTGGCAGCTGTCAGGGCAGGAGACCAGCTCTGCTCCTCAGCATTGAGGGGGCTGAGGCTGCGGAGTTGAGAGTGGGAGCCCCGTGATGGCGGCACCTGGGCTGCTGGAAGGTGTGAAGTGAGGGCAGCTTTGAAGCCAGCTCCTGACTCTACCAGTCATTTCCTCAGGATGGGCTCTGCTGGGCCACATGGCAGATGCCTCTGAAATGAAGTCCCTCTGAGTTCATATCTAAAGCTTCAAAGCTGACAGACTAGGTCCAGCACAGTGGCTCACTCCTATAATCCCAATGCTTTTGGAGGCCAAGGCAGGAGGATCACTTGGGGTCAAGAGTTTAAGATCACTCTGTGCAAAACTGTAAGATCTTGTCTCTACGAAATATAAAAATAAATGGACCGGGTGTGGTAGTGTGCACCTGCAGTCCCAGCTACTCAAGAGGCTGAAGCGGAAGGATTGTGGGAGACCCAGGAGGTCAAGGCTGCAGTGAGCTATAATCACGCCACTGCACTCCAGCCTGGTTAACAGAGCAAGACCCTGTGTCTAAAAGAAAACAAAATAAAACTAGCAGCCTACCCCTGCCATGTCTCATGTGTGCCCTGGAAGGCTCCTTCCACCCCTCAGTCTAGATATCCAGAGATTTACCTCCTCAGCACAGAAAAGCCCTGCTCAGCTGGCCTAGTCAATTAGGAAATTAGGAAGGAAGGAAGTGGTCAGTACCAGAGCCCAGCAGGGCTGAGGCCAGGACATGCAGAGAGGCTGGTGGATATAGCAGCAACTGTGGTTTCTTCTTCTCCAGTCCGTTTTCACTCTTTTATTTTTTCTTTCTTTCCTTCCTTCCTTCATTTCTTCCTTCCTCTCTCTTTCTCCTTCCTTCCTTCCTTACTCCCTCTCTGTCTTCCTCCTTCCTTCTTCTCTCTTCCTCCTTCCTTCCTCTCTCTCTTCCTTCCTTCTTTCCCTCCTTTCTTCCTCTTTCCCTCCCTCCCTTCCCTCCCTCCCTCCTTCCTTCCTTCTTTTCTTCCTCCCTTCTTCTCTTCCTCCCTTCCTTCCTCTCTCTTTCTCCTTCCTTCCTCTCTCTTTCTCCTTCCTTCCTTCCTCTCTCTTTCTTTCCTCTTTTCTTTTCTTTCTTTCAGAATGCTATGAATATAGGCCTCAGGATAACTACTTTTTAAAGGAAATGACAATCTTGTTGGGAAAGAGAAAACAGTAAGTCTTAAAAACACTCCTTGGCATACTCCTCACCTGATCCTCCTCTCCTCCCCTCCCCTCCCCTCCCCTCCCCTCCCCTCTCTCCTCCCCTCTCCCCTCCCCTCTCCCTTCCCCTCCCCTCCCCTCCCCTGCCCTCCCCTCCCCTCCTCTCTTCTCCTCTCCTCTCAAGACAGGGTCTTGCTCTGTTGCCTGAGCTGGAGTGCAGTGGTGCAATCATGGCTCACTGCAGCCTCAGCCTCCCAGGTTTAAGTGATCCTTGCATCTCAACCTCCCAAGTAGCTGGGACTGCAGTTGTTTGCCAATATGTTTGAGTAATTTTTAAAATTTTTAGTACAGTGGGAGTTTCACCATGTTGCCCAGGCTGGTCTCAAATTCCTAACCTGCAGTCCTCCTGCCTTGGCCTCCCAAAGTGCTGAGATTATAGGCATGAGCTACCATGCCCAGCCAGAAGTTCATATCTGATTGCTTCTATTTTTCAGTGAAATAGGAAGCAAAGTTGTCAACTGAGAAGAGAATGAACGAGGAGTTGTGGGAAGTTTCAGAAGAGAAGAGAAGTAGAAAGCAGACATCTAGGAAAGGAAGAATGTGACTGAACTTGAGAAAGGTAGTGGATTGTATGGTAGCTCTTGGTCAACGACCATGAATTTAAAGTGAGACTAGTCATAGCAGTCGTGCTTTTTTTCTGATCACATTCAGCTGCCAAGGTTCAGACTTTTAGCAAGTGGCAAATTGAATATCACTGTGCAATAAATGCTTGTTGAGTTGCATGACTGAATACATGCGAAGGTCAAAGGAGGAGGATTTATTTAAAGATGAGGGAGGGTTACAGGGCACAGGGAGAATGTTAACAGAGAGAGTGACTGAGGGTAAAAGATAGGGCATAACATAGACTTCAACAACCAAGGGGCCACAGGGCCACGGGGACAAGGTTGCCCAGAGTGTAGCAGGAGCAGGTCTTCCTCTGAGACAGGAAGGAGAGGAACGATAACAAGGAAGATGCATTTTGAGATGAAGGACAGAGATCCTGAGGGAAACCAGCAGGCCCTTTTCTTTACCAGTCATAGAACTCATCGCTCTCCACCTGTTTGCATTTCTGAGTTTGACCCAGAGTGCACAAAACACAGGGATAGGAACCTTGTCAGGCTTATTGACAGATAACTGTTGTCACTTTAACACCAAACACAGCACCTCACCTGTAGCAGGTTCTTAGTCACTTTTATTGATTGAAGGAGTCAATGCATGAGTGAAGTAGGAGAAGTCATCTCCTATAGATTGACAGGTGGAAGGTTAAGAAGAATGGAAAAGCTTTGGAACAATGATGTCATTTAGAGATGAACATGGACTTTTTTTTTTTATGTTTGCCTCGCACTAATAACTTTTATTTCACTCAAATTAGAGCAGTAATCTTCCATAAATAAGTATATTCCCTGCCCAATAATTTAAGGAAAAATCCACAATGATTAGTAAAGAAAAATATAAGAATTAACAGACCCTTTAAATTTGTTTTAAATATTTGAAGATTTAAAAAGTGTTTAAAGTTTGTAATTCCTAGTAGGAAAACATTATCTGAATGAATACCCTAATGGCAAACCACTGTAAAATGCTTCAGCTGCATTTGGGGGAGAGGGGTAGGGATTATCTTCAAAGCACCCCAGCTCTCTTGATGAGAAGGTCAGAGGTACGTTGGTTTGTATTATTGCGACATCCATAAGGTGATCTAGGTTGCTTTTCCTTCAGCAGGGCTTTATTTATCAGAAGGGCATTATGCTTGACCTCCAAATTTGGCTGACAATTTACTGATGAGATTCATAACCTTTGGGTTGCTCTGGTATTTTGACATATTTGCTGGGTTCTGAGCCACATCCTGGAAGGCCACCATAACTTCTGGATCCTGCATGGCTGCAAGAGCCTCTGGATCACTAAGAATTTCATTGAGTCCAGGCATTCCGGCCATTCCAGGCATGTCCCCTCCCATTCCAGGCATTCCTCCGGGAAAATTACCAGGCATTCCACCAGGAAAGCCACCTGGAAAAGGGCCATAGTGAGCTCCTGACTGTCGTCTGGCTTCTTCCTCCCTCTGGGCTCTCTCCTGCTCTTCTTGAGCCTTCTTAACTCGTTCTATTCTTTCTTTGATCTCTCGCTCTTCATGTTTTCGCTCATACTTTCTCCAATGTTCTGCAATTTTCTGTGCCCTAGGTTGAACTTCTTTCAGCATTGCACTAGCATCTTCATCATAATCCAATTTACAGGCAAAGGCAAGATCATGGGCTGCTTCTTCCCAGTGGCCTAGAAGTCTGTGTGCTTTCCCCCGCCACTTGTAAGGCTGAGCTGAATCAGGATTTATTTCAATGGCTCTGTCACAGTCTTGGATGGCAGCATTTGGCTTCTGTAATTTGACGAAGACACTGGCCCTCTTTGCATACAAAATGGCCAAGCGAGGATTCAGCTTGATGGCATCTGTGAATAAGTCAATGGCTTTCTGGAGTTCACCATCATTTAGGACTTCAATAGCAGCCACTTTTTTATCATTTGCCTGATCCATCATCTCCTCCGTTATCTCCACATTTTCATCTCCCATTTCTTGAGGAGCATCAGTGTCTGGTTCAATCACACCTTCTTTATCAATTTCTAGATCACTTTCCTCAGTTGATGGTTCGTCTGCCTTTAAGTCTTCCTCCACCTTCTTACTATCAGGTTTTTCTTCCTTGGTATTTTCTTCTGATTTAGCCTTCTGAGTAGCAGGTGGTACTTTACCTCCCATGCTCTCCACCCACTCTCTCAGGAAGCGCATTTCCTCGGTGTGCAGAACGCTCGGATCCTGCTTACACATTTTCACAAAGGCCCGAAGCTCGTTCACTTTGCAGGGGTCCATGGTAGGGAGGTGGTGGGTGAAGCTGGGGGCTGCGGCCCAGTTCCAGGCCCAGGTGCTGGCTCGGCATGACCGCGCAGAAGGGGGCGGCTGCCGCGAGTGAACATGGACATTGTTAATATGCAATAAAATCTCAGCCTACTTGAAATGTTTACATTAATTGTCAAAAAACATATTCAGAAGGCAAACCCTTATCATCTCTCCGCTGCTCCCAGAGAGATGTTATTAGGCATCACCTTCTGGGTTATGATGGCTTCTTAACTGGCTTCCACATTTCCCCCTTTGCCGCCAACTAGTCTCTTTTCAGTATAGCAGCCAGACTGTTACAACACAAGACAACTTCTATCACTCTCCATTCAAAACTCTCCGGAGGATTCCACTTCCACTCATAGTTGAAGTCAAAGCCCTTATAATGGTTTTCAAACTTTACTCAAACTGTCCTAACTCCTTCCTCTCGTACCTCATCATCCAATTCTCTCCTCCTGCTCATTTTGCTCTGGCCACACTGGTCTCCAAACCCCCAGGCACATCTTACCCTAGGGGCCTCGGATTAGCTGTTCCTTTCCTCTGGAACATTCTTTTCCCAGATATTTGCATATCAGGGCTTTGAGGGGGCCTTGATCCGGGAATGCAGGATACTGGAAGGTTCAACAATACAGTTATTGTCAATAAGAGTATTGGCAGTGAATGTGTTGGAAAGAGGGCCGTAAATGAACTGTGAAAATTTTCCATGAAGATGGGAGAGGACTGGAGAGTTTTGTCAATGAATACAATAAAGAGGTACTTTGTCTCCAAACATCACTAAGCAGATTGTCTACACAGAAGCTTCTAGTGGGTATTTCTAGGCTGGGCACGGTGGCTCACACCTGTAATCCCAACACTTTTGGGGGCGGAGGCGGAGGATGGGTTAAGGTCAGGAGTTTGAGACCAGCCCGAGCAACATAGTGAGACTCCATTTCTACAAAAAATTAACAATTAGCTGGGCATGGTGGCACACTCCTGTTGTCCTCACTACTTGGGAGGCTGAGGCAGGAAGATCACTTGAGCCCAGGAGTTTGAGGTTACAATGAGCTATGATTCCACCATTGCACTCTAGCCTGGCAACAGAGCGAGACTCTTGTCTCAAAAAAAAAAAAAAAATGCAGATTCCTAAGCCATAATCTTGGAGGTCTTGGTCTCAGTTCAGCGAGTTGGGGGTGATCTTCAGGAATCAGTGTTTGAAAATCTTCCTGTTTGGAAATCACTTGTGCAGATAACATTAGTAAGACTGGAGAGAAGGTGGTAATGAATTTATCAGGGACTTCAAAGAGGACACATCACAGAGGTGAAGAATGGAGAAATGGTCATGGAAAGCAAAGAGGACGAGGACCCCTCTTTCTCATTCTATTGTCTAGGAGGAATTGCAGGAGGCATACCCCATGGGTAAAGATGAGAATAAAGTGAAATCAACATGGGAAAGGCAGGTTTCAAGTTTTTGTAATGGGAAGGAAATAGGCAGAGATAAAGGGGCATCCTCACCGCAGACCCTTCTTTCGAGGAGCTCACTGGAAGGTAGTAGAAGAAGGGTGGGCAGAGTGTTGGGAGAGTTGAGGCTGACTCATAGAGAAATTAGTTGGTGTGACGTGAAAGCAGGGAGATGAGAAGAGTAAAGGGCATGGCAGTTGAGCGTGCTGGTTAGTGACAGCAGATTGGGATTCTTTATTGCTTCCGGGCTCAGTGTGGGGTGCTGTGCTATGGGGGGCTGATACTTATGAGCCAGTGGAACTACTCCCCAAAGGTCAAGTGGACTAAAATAAAAACAGTGAGGATGCCTTTCTGATCTTCTCCCAACCATGCTGAAGTCCTGAAGAGAATGGAAGTTAGCAGAAAGTTCTGGAGAGAATGAAGGGACAAGGGAGGAGGGGAAGGAAACAGTGGCTAGTGAAGGTAGGCAAGGAGTACTCTCAACACATGCTTAATATGAAACATTTATCAGCAAGAAACTAGTTTTTAAAGCTGACACACAGCATTCAAACTTGGAGGCCACAGGCCTCACAGGGCAGGTCTTCTACTTTTTGAGATCTCTAATTACTGGATCCAAACTTTCTCCCTGGGAAAGGGTAATTTGTTTTTGTATGAATTCATCTTTTATAGAGTCACAGCCAGTCCCTTCTTTCTAACATGTACACCACATCTCCTAGGCACGACTGTCTTTTGCTCATTAAGAAAAAACTCTGCCTCCAAACTCCTATCAGATGGAGAAGCTGCAGAGAAGATAAATGGCTTATTCAAGGACCAGAACCCAGGACACTCATGATACCTTGGCCAGTGCTCTTTCTTCTCCACCTCCTTGCCTCCATCCCTTAACAAATGTTCTTTTCTGGGAACTTGGACACCCCTTGAAAAGATGAGGAGTGGTTTATGGTAATTCCAGGTTGGATTATTTGGTTTGGGAGAATGCCATTGGTCACAGCAATCTCAGCTCCTGGCAGCAGAAACCTGAACTTTGTCTCTATTCCATTTTGCCATGGTTATCTCTAACAGAAAGTCCTGTTATGCAACACCAGAATACCTTCCCAGTAGAGGTTGTGACACTGAGTTCCCATTACAGATCCTAAAACCCAGCCACCTAGACTTGGAGGCAGTATGGCTGCAAGTTAAGAGCCAAGCCCTGGTTTCAGACAGACCTGGTATGACCTTGCCTCTGCCATATACTGATATTGTGGAAGAGCACTTAATGACCTGGAGAAGTATCTCTTAAGGGAAAGAGTGCAATAGAATATGATCCCATTTTTGTTCAAAGACATGTTCCCATGGTGAAACACAACCTAGGAAGTTTTACATCTGTGTTTCTAGGTAGTGCCAACAGCTTGTGTTATTCTAGATTTTTAGAATTTTTTACAATGACATGTCCATTTATTTATTGATTCATCATCAGTCATTATCCATTCACGCATCGAGTGCCTTCTATGCAGCAGATACTACAATAGATATTGGGCATACAATGAGGGGAGATGGCGGCTAACCAGGTCTAGGCTGTGCCTCCATGAAAAAGAGACTTATACTTGGGGAAAAATGATTATACATGTGTAGACATAAAGCTTATACTTATAATAAATCAGTAAGATTCCAATAAATAAATGGGAAAAATATGTGTACAAAAAGTATAATGAAAGAAAAGAGAAAGCAAGGGGTATCACTAATCATTCTAAGATTGTTTCTCCTTAAGAACAACAGTCCCCAGGTACTAATATCATTGCTCATTCCTACCATCTCTTATTAAAATAAATAAAATAAGAAATGGCTCAGCTGTCAAAAGGTCTCCTGCCACTTTACAGAAGTAAAGCCAGGCCATGGGCTATGGATTACCAGGAGGGCAGGAGAAAAGATTCCCTCCTGTTTCTTCCACTTAGCAAGTGAATCACCAGGAACACAAAAGGACCAACTATTTAATTCAGGGGCGGACTCTTTTTCTTTTTCTTTTTCTTTTTTTTTTTGAGATGGAGTCTCGCTCTGTCGCCCAGGCTGGAGTGCAGTGGCGCGATCTCGGCTCACTGCAAGCTCCACCTCCCGGGTTCACACCATTCTCCTGCCTCAGCCTCCCGAGTAGCTGGGACCACAGGCGCCCGCCACCACGCCCGGCTAATTTTTTTGTATTTTTAGTAGAGACAGGGTTTCACTGTGTTAGCCAGGATGGTCTTGATCTCCTGACCTCGTGATCCACCCGCCTCGGCCTCCCAAAGTGCTGGGATTACAGGCGTGAGCCCCTGCGCCCCGCTGAGGGGTGGACTCTTAATTGTGTTTGCTGTGTGTCGCTTCTCACAAAGCCCACACTCTCTCATGGAGAGAGAACCCTTTTCTCCTGGCTCAGAGTTTCCAAGTTGCATTCTCTAGGCACCAGAATCCAAACCTGTCTGCATTGAGTTCTGCGTCTCTTCCCCTATAGGTTGTTGGCTGAGGCTCACGCCTCCCTGAAGCCTGCTGGCCTCTAAGTGATGACTGAATCAGGTTATGAAGGACTCGCAGCGGGGGCATGTTGGGATTTGGTCATCAGCCCACTGTCGGCAACAGCAAGAGCCACTCTCAGAGTCTGAAACTGGTATTGCCAAAGGACAACAGAACTCTGCATTCTGTTTAAAAATATTGCACTTTATTCCTTTTCAAACATTTGCAAAAGGGAGTAATAAATTATAGGCGGGTGGATCACCTGAGGTCAGGAGTTCCAGACAAGCCTGGCCAACATGGTGAACCCCATCTCTACTAAAAATACAAAACATTAGCTTGGCGTTGTGGCAGGTCCCTGTAATCCCAGCTACTTGGGAGGCTGAGGCAGGAAAATCGCTTGAACCTGGGAGGTGGAGGTTGTAGTGAGCTGAGGTCACGCCATTGCACTCCAGCCTAGGCAACAACAGTGAAACTCCGTCTGAAAAAAAAAAAAAAAAAAAGACATCTCAAAACCCCAAATCTCTTATGGACTTGTATAGTATTTATGAAACTAAGAACTCATTTGAGAAGGGGAAAATTCCAATAATTCTTCTTAAATTTCGTTTCAATTTCAAGTAATTTATAGGTATGTCTTAGGAATCATCATTAAACCTTCTGTACCAGTTAGGCTATTCAAATATCTACATCTTTAAACACGTATAGCAATTTTGAAAAATAGAGAAGTTTTTCAGTTTAGATGAACAATAAAATATTTTGTCAAAAAGACTCCTTTTCCTTTTACATTCATTGTCAGGAAAATCCAGCATAGGAAATTTACTGCTTATGGTTGAACAACATCAAATTTGTAGATTTACCAGAGAGCCTGTCTCAATCTGATTAGTTAGCAAAACAGGGAGTCCTGTTTAGTTCTCCTAAACATTTTGTAACTCCCTGATTTCTCTTGCCTTCAGAGAGATGTGATTTACAACACAGTGGTTCAATAAACAAAAAGTAATTTCAGGTCCAAGTAATTTGCCTTCCAGTTTCCCATTAATTAAAGATGATTCTCTGCCTAGATGGAGAATCAAGAGACCTTGACACATAGTCTTTTTCCATAACCCTAGCAGTGTATCTTCCTGGTCAGACCTGCTGGGTGGGCACACTTCCCAGACACAGGGCTCTCCACCTCTCTGGAGCCCCCAACCTTATTTGGGAGCTCAGGCTCACTACATTTATGCCCAGGTATGGGGAACTCACAGCCAGGAGACCTAAGCCCAGCAGATCTTGCAAGGGGAACAGGGGTACATACCACTCATAGACAGACTGAGGATAAGGATGACTTAAGCCCCTGCTTGGCATACCTTTCCTTCTTGGCACATAGATGTGTTCACCTCCAAGCCTGGCACAACTGGGAAAGGCCTGGAATTACTAGGCATTAGGACCAGTGGAAGGTTTCAGAGTCAAGGAAGAATTGAGCTTATGGCCTCCTGTAGTCCAGCTGGCTATAACGTGTCCCAGATCTGTTCCCTAACTTCCACCAGGACTGCCCATTTCCCCAACTCTAATGTGGGAATTTTTTTTTTTTTTTTTGAGACAGAGTCTCGTTTTGTCCCCCAGGCTGGAGTGCAGTGGCGCGATCTAGGCTCACTGCAAGTTCTGCCTCCCGGGTTCACACCATTCTCCTGCCTCAGCCTCCCGAGTAGCTGGGACTACAGGCGCCCACCATGACGCCCGGCTAATTTTTTTGTATTTTTAGTAGAGACGGGGTTTCACCATGTTAGCCAAGATGGTCTCGATCTCCTGACCTCGTGATCCACCCGCCTTGGCCTCCCAAAGTGCTGGGATTACAGGCGTGAGCCACCGTGTTCGACCTAATGTGGGATTCTTTAGACTGGTGGGGAGTCATTAGGGAAGGAAATGCTTTGTGTTTGCTCAGACATTCATTCCAACCCCATCCCATCTCCAATGAGAGACTTGTAAGCTCCAAATCCTGACTTTCCTTAATGCCTCAGGTCCAACGCCCTATCTGCCTCTCTACTAGCACTCCCGCTTTGCTGCCTCAAGATGCTTCCCTCCCATTGATGATGTGTGGGTATTTCTGTTGTTGTTTTTTCATGTCTTTTTCCATCTTTTTTTCTTTTTCTTTTTGTTTTTTTGGAGACAGGGTCTCACTCTGTCACCCAAGCTGGAGTGCAGTGGTGTAGTCTCAGCTCACAGCAGCCTCGATCTCCCAGGCTCAAGCAATCCTCCCACCTCAGACTCTCAAGTAGTTAGGACCACAGGCATGAGCCACCACGCCTGCCCCAATATACATATATATATACATATATACATATATATATACATATATACATATATATATACACACATATATACACATATATACATATATATACACACACACACACACACATATATATATATTCAACATCTTTGGCTTTCTCTTCTCCTTGAAATATTTTTAGTAAGATTTCTGATCTGGGCATGGTGGCTCATGCCTGTAATTGCAGCAGTTTGGGAGGCCAAGGCAGGAGGATCACTTGAGCCCAGGAGTTCAAGACCAGCCTTGGCAACATAACAAGACCCTGTATCTACAAAAAAAATAAGAAAACTAGCCAGGCATGGTGGTGTGTGCCTGTAGTCCCAGCTACTCGGGAGGTTGAGATGAGAGAACTGCTTGAGCCCAGGAGTTTGAGGCTGCAGTGAGTCATGATCACACCACTGTACTCCAGCCTGGGCAACAGAGTGAGACCCTATCTGTTTTGTTTTTACCTTAGAATATAGATTTTATTATTAGTTAGGTATGGCAAGGCCAACAGCTCAGGAGATGACTGCCATTGAGAAGATAGCCTCACAGTTCCCAAAAGAAGAGAGTGAACTATGCCACAGGGGACTGCACCAGGAAGTAAGTGGGTAAGTCAGGGAGCAGAGGAAGTAGGGGAGGTGTAGGAAGAGTCCTTACTGTGTTTCTGCAGGAAGGAATGGTGTGGCAGCATACACAGGTTTAGGATTGGCTAGCATGAATAATTTCAATGGGTGCAGGGGCATGGAGGCTGTCCCTAGTTGTTTGGGACGTGGTCCTTGAGTGATTAGGGCAGGTGGATGGTGCCCCAGGATGTGAGAGCTCGATAAAGGAGGTGGGTGGGAGTGTGGACTCTTGATTGGTTGGTCTGCACATGGAAGGCATGCTCCCAGGAGAGTCATTTACTGTGTCTAGGACTTGACTAGCTCTGAGAGAAATGGTCCCTTAGGGTCAGCAAGGGCCCAGATGCCAAGCACCAAAAACACAAAATGAAAGGACATGATTAATACAACTTGCGAGGCACCGTTGGCATGGCTCAAGCATTCTGCTTAGATAAGCCAGGCTGTCTGAGAGTCTTGCCAGTGCATGTCTCACCCTTGGCCGACATAGTTTCCCTGGTCACCCTTGCAAGTTGGCTTCCCTACTTAAAACACCTCCAGTCTCCATCCAGTCTCCCACTCCACAATTCCCACCAGGAGAGCAGTCCTCACTAAGTCCTCCATAACCTGCCTGCATCCATCCTGGGACATTTCATTCCTATGACTGCCCCCAGTGTGTCCCATCTGCTGTTCACACTCCTCTTTCCCAGGTGCCTGCTTCACACCTCATGCAACACTCCTGTTGCCTGGTGGTCTGAAGCACATGCGCATGGCTTGTCCTGGCACAGGTAGGGTAGGATCTGATGTCCACGGGCCCTCAGCATCTCCACCACATCTCATGAACCATTCCTTCCCTAGGTGCAGATCAACATCACTCCGACATTCCCTGTGGGATGGCGGGGTGGGGTACACTCACTTCTCCGTGGATCACCATTGGCAAACTTTATGCTTAGCGCTTTACAGGAAATGGTTTCATTCAGGCTGGGAGTAAGGAGGCTCTTCAAAGCTGGGCAGCCCTACTTTCCTGGCGCCCACTTTGGACATAACTGCTACTGCAAACAACTCTCGCTTCTTCTGCCCCCGAGACACCCTCTGCCCCAAAGACTGTGGCAGGGGTCACAGTGGTCTCCCCACTTGTGGCAGATCCCATGATCCCCCATCTCAGAGACCAGTACATGTCCCCTGTTCGCTCATGTCAGGGAAAAACTCTCTCAAACCGTGTATTCCCTCTGCCCTCAAACAGCAATGATCGTCAACACAGAAGACCTCCGTAACCAAAGGTGTGGGTTTTTCCCCCCACACACCAAGCAGCAGACACCAGGAGTGTCCTCCAATGCAGTTCCAACACTACCTACCTGGAGACAGTGTCAGATCCCACAGGTTGGGGGCTCAGTCCCCAAGACCTCCCCCTCTTTCTCCCCAGTTGCAAGTCTGGGCCTCTGGAACTTCTGACTGACTGGCTTCAAGTTGGGGTTCCCATGACCCCCTCTTTGGGTTCGATTAATTTGCTAGAGTGACTCACATAACTCAGGGAAACACATTTGCTGGTTTATTTATAAAGGATATTATGAAAGATACAGATGAAGAGATGTGGAGGGCGAGGTAAGGGGAAAGGGGCGTGGAGCTTTCATGATCTCTCTGGGTGTGCCACTCTCTAGGAAGTGTTCACTCTCCAGATAGTGTTCAGCTATGTGGAAACTCTCTGAACCCTGTCCTTCTGGGTTCTTATGGAGGCTTCATTACATAGGCATGATTGGCAACCATGAAGAAATGTGATTGGACAAAAAGCATATGGTATAAACCCAGCAAGGCTTGTCTGTTCAGACTTGGCGTTTCTGTGCAGCATTCCTTCCTCTAGGGTATGAGGCAAGGCCCTTTCTGGAATGAGAGTCTTTTGACCCACAATCAAATTAGAGTCCTGCTTTGGGCAGGTGGAAGAAGGACAGGAGAAGGTCATAGACAGAGATTCTGTTTACTGAGGCCTAAAGTGCCCAACAATATAACAAGGAGTTAGGATCCAGGAGCTGCAGATGAAAAGCAAAATATATGGCTGGGCGCGGTGGCTCACACCTGTAATCCCAGCACTTTGGGAGGCTGAGGCCGGTGGATCACCTGAGGTCAGGAGTTTGAGACCAGCCTGGCCAACATGGTGAAACCCCGTCTCTACTAAAAATGCAAAAATTAGCCGGGCATGGGGGCAGGCACCTGTAATCCCAGCTACTCGGGAGGCTGAGGCACGAGAATCGCTTGAACCTGGGAGGCAGAGGTTGCAGTAAGCAGAGATCGCGCCACTGCATTCCAGCCTGGGCAACAAAAACAGACTCGGTCTCAAAAAAAGGAAAAGATATATATACATATATAAAGATAAATATATATATATGTGTGTGTGTATATATCTAAACACTACAGCTCTTACTTTTTTAATTGACTTAACTTTTCATTGACTTAACTTCTCTTTTTTTTTTTTTGAGATGGAGTTTCGCTCTTGTGGCCCAGGCTGGAGTGCAATGGTGCAATCTTGGCTCACCGCAACCTCCACCGCCCGGGTTCAAGCAATTCTCCTGCCTCAGCCTCCTAAGTATCTGGGATTACAGGCATATGCCACCACACCCAGCTAATTTTGCATTTTTAGTAGAGACGGGTTTTCTCTATGTTGGTCCGGCTGGTCTTGAACTCCCAACCTCAGGTGATCCACCTGCTTCAGCCCGGCAAAGTGCTGGGATTACAGGCGTGAGCCACCGCACCCAGCTGACTTAATTTTCATAGATAACTTATTCATCATAAAGAATTAATTTATTGGCTGGGTGTGGTGGCTCACAACTGTAATTCTAGCACTTTGGGAGGCCAAGGCAGGCGGATTGCTTGAGCCCAGGAGTTCCAGACCAACCTGAGCAAAATATTTATTTTTTGTGTTTATTTACAATAAATACAAAAAGTTATCTAGGCCCAGTGGTGTGCACCTGTAGTCCCAGCTACTCGGGGGGCTGAGGTGGGAGGTTCACCTGATGCCGGAGAGGTTGAGGTTTCAGTGAGCTGAGATTGTATCACTGCACTGCAGCCTGGGTGACAGAGCCAGACTTTGTCTTAAAAAGAAAGAAAGAAAGAAAGAAAGAAAGAGAGAGAGAGAGAGACAGAGAGAGAGAGAGGGGGGGAGAGAGAAAGAGAGAGAGAAAGAAAGAAAGAAAGAAAGAAAGAAAGAAAGAAAGGAAGGAAGGAAGGAAGGAAGGAAGGAAGGAAATAAATAAATAAATAAATAAATAAATAAATAAAGAAAGAAAGAAAGAAAGAAAGAAAGAATTTGTTGCCTTCCTGATAAAAATTCCAGTGGGAAATTTTGATTCACATTGCATTTAATTTATAAATAAATTTGGGAGAATTGGTATCTTTGCTAAGCTAAAATATAATCTCTGTGGACATGACGTACATTGCCACTGTTTATCCTTTAACAGACTAAATTTTCTCTGTAAGAGGTTATTTCCTAGATAGTTAATATTTTTGGTACTACTTTGTGCTGTATTTTATAACTATTAAGGAATGTTGCAGAGAAATGCTATCAATTGTTAAAATTTTGCCATGAATACAGCAGCCTCACTGAATTCTCTTAGTAGTTCTAATAGCTTGCCATTTGATTCTAACAGGTTTTCTATGTAAAAGATGGTGTCATCTTCAAACAATGATAGTTTCATTTCTTCTCTTTCACCTCTTACCTTCCTTGTGTTTCTTTAGCATTGGGCAGGTCCTTCAGGGATATGTGAAACAGTGGCAGTAACAACCAGACATCCTGGCCTCTTTGTTTTTTTTTCCATGATGAAGTCTCACTCCGTTGCCCAGGCTGGAGTGCAGTGGCACGATCTCGGCTCACTGCAGCCTCCACCTCCCGGCTTCAAGTGATTCTCCTGCCTCAACCCCCCAAGTACTTGGGATTACAGGTACCTGCCACTACACCCGACTAATTTTTGTACTTTTAGTAGAGACAGGGTTTCACCATGTTGGCCAGGCTGGTTGA